>NC_000020.11:6126941-6278456 GCF_000001405.40 Homo sapiens
CCTTGGCACATACAAAATGGCAGCTGTGTTCACGTGTGCAGTGAATACATTTTGCTGAGTGCAAAGAAGCAGAATGTGCCTATTATTGCTACACCCTCCTCCCCAACTGGATGGATAATGAGCACTTTCTATGCCCAGGCAAGTTCTAAAGTTTTCTCCTTGCCAGGGTGAAAAGGGTGTGTCTCAATGTACTTACAGGGCTGAATGACAAAGAGCAAAGAAGAGTAAAAATGGCTTTGCTGGGGGCCATGCTGGAGCCCACCTTTGAGAATGAGAGAAGCAAGAAACACAGTGCCTCCCTCCTTCCATCCCTCTTCTCCTCCATCCCCTGTTCTCCTTCCTTAGATTGCATCCTTCTTAATCAAAGGGTACAAGAGAGTATACAGTGATAATTAAATCTTCCTCCCATCCTTGATTATTGAGTTCCCTTCCCTAGAGATAATAGTTACCTGTTTCCCCTGAAACCTTCCAGAGATAGTCTATGCATGTAGACAATTTCTGCTTCTTATGCAAGTGATAGTAGTCTATACATATTGTTCTGCATTTTGCTTTTCTAACTTGAAAATATCTTGATGATTGTAGCAAATATCAGTCATACTCATGGCTGCCCATCATCCTTGGAATGGCCTCCTTAATATTTGTGGAAATCTTTATGTCTTAATCCCAGTCTAGAAGTCAGAACTCAAATTCCCAACCTCGCTTGCAGCGAGGGCACAGGCCTATGACCTAGGCTGTGTCATTCAGATACTCAGGAATGACTTTAATTTGAAAGTGAGTGAGGTGCAGAGACAGGATGTACTTGGAGCTTCCATCTTTTCTGATGTGAGTGGTGTCAGGAATGACTATGGTGGTGGTAGTGGCAGTGGCGATGGTTTTCTGGAGGCTGAAAGGTTAAAGTCCCAATGCAGAAGTGATGTCAGGGCTAGTGGGTGGTGGTAGCAGGTGCAGTAAAGTCAGGTTCAGATGCTTCAATGGTGACTCCCTTCTCGTGTTAGTCCTACAGCATCATTTCAGACTTTGTTCTTGGTGCTTAGCTCCAAGCCTCTTCCTCCTGCTGTCCTGTCAGGTTGTGTCCACTATGATGGAGCAAGACCCTGTCATCTATGATGATGATGACGACTTGCCTAATTATTTTTCTGTTTAAGCTAGCCATAGTGGATTCTGTTATTTGTGCCTAAGAGCTCTTACTGACAAAGAACGTGTTACCGGAAGTGGGATGCTACAAGTAACAACACTAAAAGTAGAATTGACTAAGTGCAGCAGGCAGGCCTTTGAGCAAGGAGGGGACACACATTACAGGCTGGAAAGCTGGTGACTCTTGTAATGCAGTGGCAAAATTTTGCTTCAACTACTATATACAATACTTGAAGATGCACACTGCAAGCTGAGTGAGGCTGTGATAAGAGGGGAAATAGTGGGGAGCATTCAGAATGTTGGTTTACATTGATGACTTCTTGCTCTTTCAGCAGTCTTGATAGAGCAGCTATACCCACACCAGAGTCCTCCAGCTGACAAGAGAGGTAAGGAGAGAAACTGCTTTGCCAGGAGGGGCCCTCTGCTGCAGCTGGAGGTCCAAGTTGACCGAGAGCCCAAAATTTGGGCTGAGAAAACAAACTACCACTTTATTCAAACCAAAGCTGGCATAAGTAGCTATTGAAGGGAAATGAATACAACCCTTATTATAATAGCACTATTATGAGAGTAAATGAAAGAGCCCGTGTATGTGTCCCATGCCTTCAAAATGCTATTGTGATTTATATTAATAAATTATTATAATTATTATGGGTGTCTGCTGCTGTCTATATTTCTACCTGACTACTGGGTTTAGAATATGGATACAACTGCTAGCATGGTTGTTTTGAGGGCAACTCAGGTTTATACTTTTTGTAGCCCAGCAAATAGTTCAGTATGCTTTAAATAAAGTCCGGGAAGTAAGGGGAAAGTGAGAGATAGGAACGTTGTTCCCCACTTTGTCACACCTTCTAAACTGGAATTACACATTCATACCTTTCACCATGGGATCTGCAGTTCCCCCCATTGGAGTGGAGTGGACTTCCCTGCACCTTGATTTTGGTCTTGGCCATGTCTTTTGCTTTGGCCAATGAGCAGGTGTGATACAAGCAGAGGCTTGAAATAGATTTGCTTGTGGTTTTGGTTTGCTCTTCTATACTCAGCCTTTCACCACGGGAAGATTGCTCTGCCTTGAGGAGATGGTTGATTCTAGAAGTGGGATGGAAAAGCACAAGATGAGTCTGGAACACCTTGTGATGCCAGACAATGAAGACGTCATCGAAAACCCATGGGGGCATGTCAGAAGGACACAGGAGTCACCTGAAAGGAGATCCTATGGGCCAGTCTGGGACAATGGGAGCAGCAAAATATATAATGGTAGTAATGGATTATACCCCATAGAATAAAATATTCACCAGCCCCCCTAACATAAACAAAAATGGGATCCCAGCTAGGTTTTATTTAAACATTTTTTCCACGTTTAGAAATGCTAAGTGACTGGCTTGAGGCCACCCCGCTAACAGATGCCAGATTTGGGATTCGAACCCTGCCCTAGTGGCTCCCGTGCTGGAGCTTCTCGCACTACACTGCTCTCAGTCTCCATCCTCCGGGCATCTCTGTATGAGAGCAGGAACAAGAAGACAGAATGTTGCCTTGCTCCACCTCCACTGGGCACATCCACGTTAGAGGTGACTCAATGTTTTTGCTACCAACTACAAAAGCACCGTGAGTACTGATTTTGGAGTTACAAATACATTTTACCTAGTAGGTAAATTCACAAATATGAAATTTTGAGTTACGAGGGTGGACTGTATGGAGATATAGATTTAACACCCAGAAGATAGAGTAAAAAGAATTAGAAATAGTTGCCTCTGGGGAATGGGAGGCTGGATGGGAAGGAGAGGGGTGTGGCACTGTTCAGATTGAATAATTTTTCAAAAATATTTGATATCCACTCCTTCTCCCAGCACTCCTCCCCTCCCCCCAGTGGGCTGGTGAGAAATGTAATTTGTCATTACTGGATCTTGCTTGCCCAATCTCCAGTATCTCAGGAAGATCCCAACTTTACTTTAGAAAAGTAAGAGCTTCCTGGAAGGGCTCTGTGGATTCCAGTTCCCACTGGTCTCTGGAAGTCTTCATTTTCTAAGCACTTACGTGAAGGAAGTGTCTGTTTTTCCTTCTGAGTCCAGTTTGGGCCTGAGTCTTGCCCTGTGGCTCCCAAGGCCACCTCCTTGGCATCATTGTTCTGGGAAGCGGATGGTTCCTGGAGTGGGGCAACCCCAACTACATAGTAGGAATTGCAGATGGCACAGTTCTTGATCTGTAGTGGGTGGGTGTAGGGGTGGAGGTGGGGGTGGCGCTAGGTTGATGAGCTCAAACTTGCAGTTTTCTGTCTCGCCCAGGCAGCCTTCAGCAATTACCGCTTGTAAGCACTCTCTATGTCCCAGGTACAGTGCCTAGTTCTTTGCATACATTATCTCATTTAATCCTCATAAACTAGGAGTATTTCCTCACCTTACAGGTGAGGAAACTGAAGCTTAGGGAGTTTAAGCAAATTGCCCAAGATCACCTAGTTACTAAATGGCAAAGTTAGGATTTGAATTTATCCCCATTTAACTTCCAAACCATTGCCCTCAATGGCTTACAAGACTTTACACACACATAGACTCTTTTGCCTATTTCCAATTCTATTTAGTTTTGATAGGTTGAGTTTCTGGCAGCTTCTGAAACTGTGTTGCCATTGTGAGGGCATCCCCTTCCCTCAGCATCACTAAGGATGGTGTGCCCTTTGTTGTCTTCCTCCTTGTTTGGACAGTTCGTTCTTCCATCTGGACTGCTCTCCCCCTTCCTTTCCTCTTGCAGAATTCCTACCCATCCTTTAGGAACTAGCACTGCAGGCAGGCTGTGGCAACAACAGCTGAAGGAAGGAGAAATTTTAACTTTGAGTAAAGATTGATATTTTAATGATTACATTGAACTGGACTAACCATTACCAAACTGATTTTTTTTCTTTTTTCTTTCTGTTTTTTTAATGACCAGCAGTGTCTGGAGCACTTTTCATGATCTAAGAGAGCCCAGATGTCTCATGAAAGCTATCCTGGTTTTCATCCAAGGAGAGGAAAATAAATACCCCTTCTCCTGTCTCAAAAGGCAGAAGGGTAAACAAAATAGCTTTTTTTTTTTTTTTTTTTTTTTTTTTTTAAATAACACTACAGGAGTGTTCCTTGGCCAGTGTACTGGTGATAAATATATTTCCATAATACCTAATGCAATGTGAGCTTTGTCTTGTTTGGATACAAATGATTTATCTTACTTCCACTGAGCCTATTTTTTTGAATTATCTCCATTTCACCCCCCCAGTATAAGGCTGTGCTAAATCTTTGTGCATGTGCTTAATTAATTCCTTAAGACAAATTCGTATGAGTGGAATTACTTGGTTAAAGGTTATGTGTATTTAAGAAGTTTTGGTTAATTGCCACATTTCTTGCCAGAAAGATTGTACCTATTAATATTCTCTCCAGCCATGGGTCAGAGCTCCTCTAAGATTAGTATTTATTGTTAGCAGACACTGCCTTGTATTAAATATTTGGACTGTGCCAAGTGCTCTACCAGGCCCTTGGGATACTGCTTTTGACATGTAAGTGAAATTGGGCAGGAAGATACAGCAAACAACTGAAAATAAAGTATCGATAATGTATGTGTTTATTGCTTTACAGCTTACAAAACATTTTCAGGTACTGTAGTTCAAGGCTTTTCAAACTATAATGTGCATATGAAGCCCTGGGGGAGCTTTGTAGGTTTATGTGGCTGACTCTGTCTTAAGAGGGTGAAAAAACAAAATGAAAGAAGCTTATGATAAGGATATGGAGATATAGCTCACAGAATCAAGGAAAATCTCCCAAGTAGACTTTGAAAAGCACAGGAACTAAGGCAAGTTGAAAATCAAGGGAATCCCCTCCAGGGGGCTCTTTTTGGATGAAGGGGCTCTGCATGGTTTCAGGATTCATGTCTGTTATTAGTTGAATTTTGTTCCACAAAAAGATATGTTGAAATCTTAACCCCCAGTACCTGTGAATAAGACCTTATTTGGAAATAGGGTCTTTGCAGATATAATTAGGTTGAGATGAGGTCATATTGGAGGAGGGTGGATGCCAATCCAATATGACTGGCGTCCTTATGAGAGGAGAAGAGACTGAGACACACAGGGCAAAGCCAGCCACATGGTGACAGAGGCAGAGACTGGGGTGATACCTCTGTAACTCAAGTAACTCCAGGGACTGGCTGCAAACGTCAGAAGCTACAAGATGGAGGAAGGTGTTTTAGCCAGCTTGGGCTGGTGTAAAAAATATAAACTGGATGGCTTATAAACAACAGAAATTTATTTCTGACATTTCTGGAGACTTGGAAGTCCAAGATTAGGGTGCCAGCAGGGCGGGGTTCTGATGAGGGCTGTCTTCCAGGTTGCAGACGCTGCCTTCTTGCTGCATCTTCACATGGTGGAAAGGCAGTGAGTCAGGCCTCTGGATTCTTTTTTTTTTTGTGAGACGGAGTCTCGCTCTGTTGCCCAGGCTGGAGTGCAGGGCGCCATCTCAACCCACTGCAACCTCCGCCTCCCAGGTTCAAGCGATTCTCCTGCCTCAGCCTCCCGGGTAGCTGGGACCACAGGCGTGCACTGCCATGCCTGGCTAATTTTTGTATTTTTAGTAGAGATGGGGTTTCACCATGTTGGCTAGGCCAGTCTCGAACTCCTGACCTCAGGTGATCCACCTGCCTTGGCCTCCCAAAGTCCTGGGATTACAGGTGTGAGCCACCACGCCCAGCCTGGATTCTTTTTATAAGGGCACTGATCCCATTCATAAGGGCTCTGCCCACATTACCTTCCACTTCCAAATACCATCCCATTAGGGATTAGATTTCAACACATGATAGCAAACATTCAGTCACTAAGAGAAGAATTTTCCCCTACAGGTTTCAGAGGGAGCAGGGCCCTGCTGACAACTCGATCTTGCAGTTTCACCCTCCCAAAGTTTCTGTTGTTTGGAGCCACCCAGTCCATGGTCTTTGTTACAGCATCTCTGGAGACAAACAGTATCCCTCTGCTCCAGGTTCAAATTCCAAGGAGCAGACATCTGAGGGGCTCAGCCTGTGTTATGTTCTCATGCACAGGATCATATTTGCAGGAGTGAGTGGTTCTCCAAAGGGTAAAGAGAGGCTGTGGCCAGGATTAGGGAGACTAGGTGATGGCAGCAAGAACAGGAGATGCCCCAGCACCAACCCACCAACCCACGTGTGCTGCTGGAGCCTCACGACCTGGGATGATGATTGGGAAATACGCAGGCTCTTTCTGCTCCATGGGGTACTTTTTGGTCCAAGTCCCACATGGCTGGAAGTGCCAGTGGGTGAGTGGTTGTTCTGTGCCTTTGAAGCCATTTCTGGCTCCTTCTCAACTGCCCTAACATAGGCCTGCTCTATAATGAGGAGCTTTCCCTCCCCCACTCCTCATCCTGACTCCTGGATCCCTCTCATCCTGCACCTGTATCACCAACTAAGGTGTCTGAATGAAGAAGATAGTGTGGTGTGTCACCTGCAGGGATACATGGGTGAGTGTGGTAGACCATGTTCCCATGGCACCCCCATTCCCTCATGCCTACAGCTGTCAATGGCAAATATTTGCAGCTCTCTGTCTGAAGGGGTCTCTAGCTAGGAAGTTTCTTGGCTTAAAGGCAGAGCAGGACAAAATACTGGAGAAATTAACACCCCCAGGAGCAGCCCTTAGCCAATGAGATACAGCAGTTGGTGAATCAATACCCTAGCATCCTTGTCCACAGGGTGAACAACTCTGAGATTAATTCTTCACAGTTCCCCAGAGTTTCCTGGAGACTGGAGCCCAGCTGTCCACCGCAATAATCTGCTCATGAACACACCTGTGACTGGCTTCTTGCTTTCCCTATCTCATTTCCCCACCTCCTTCAGGTGCTCCCTGTGATATGGTTAGGCTTTGAGTCCCTACCCAAATCTCGTCTTGAATTGTAATCCCCATAATCCCCATGTGTTGTGGGAGAGACCAGGTGGGAGGTAATTGAATCATGAGGGTGTTTTCCTTGATGCTCTTCTCATGATAGTGAGTGAGTTCTCACGAGATCTGGTGGTTTTATAAGGAGCTTTTCCCCTTCGCTCAGCACCTTTCCTGCTGCCTCGTGAGAAAGGTGCCTTGCTTCCCCTTCACCTTCTGCCATGACTGTAAGTTTCCTGAGGCCTCCCCAGCTATGTTGAACCGTGAGTCAAATAAACCTCTTTCCTTTATAAATTACCCAGTCTTGGGCAGTTCTTTATAGCAGTATGAAAATGAACTAATACACCCTGGGATGGATCACCTCCCAAATACGCTTTAAATTCTTGTCTCAGGGTCTGTGTATGGGTGGTCTACCACACAGTAACCCTGCAGTGGTACTGATGTGCTTTGCCACAACTGCTGAAAAGCATAGAAAAAGTACTCGTCTGTATGAATGTGCCCAGTAATGGCTTCAGAACACCCTGCCCCCTCCACACCCCTCACACTGACTTTTCTAAGAGATAGGCCAACATAGCAATGGTGCTGGATATGAGGTAGCATGGACCCTTTGTTTTGACAGCCCCCAGCTAAATTGGGGTTCCAGTACCAGAGCAGCTAGCAGCCCTGCCAGGAAATGGAGGGGAGCTGAGCATGGGTGTCTACACGTGTTTTGCATCGGATACTTATTTCACGTGGTGGATAGCCTAATGCTTAGTTGTCTCGACTGTTACCAGGGTGTCCCTCACGTGGGAAAGTTGTTTATATTGGCAGATGTCCTTGCAGCTCTTGCTGACCTGTGTCCAGTTTCTGCCTGACTGATGATTGCTCTGGCCTGGGAGCCTGCCCTCATGTTCTCCCTGGCACCCCAGGCAAAACCTGGCCTGGAGTAGCTCCTGGTTCAGACGGAAGGTGCAAATTCAGTACGCCATCGTGATAGGAAATAAATCCAAAGATTTATTACTTACTGGCCCTGAAGGCCCTCCAGCCTCGGGTCATGAAAAGCAGAAATGAAGAGGAAGAGTCAGGCAGAAAGAGATAGAGAAAGAGAGAGTGAGCGAGCACGTACAGCAATGAACAATATATATTAGGGAATAGGATGTGGCTCACTTGAAATTCACAGGCAAATGTCTGAATGGTCCATTTAATGGAAGTGGCAGGAAAGCGGGGAGTCTATTCTGCTAGGTTGGAAAGACACGGTGAAGTTCTTATCCCCAGCTACTGGCTTGGGCCATCTGGGTGTGGTTTTCTACTTCTAATGCCCAGGCAGCAACCTTTGCTGTGTCATTCCGTTACACCCCTCCTGAAAACATCCCACCCTGGAACCCTTGGTGATGTTGCTGTCACAGGAGAGAGAAATGGGGCCCCTGGTTACAGCATAAGGATAGCAACAAAGGCCTGAGCTTTACTCTATGTCTGGAAAACGTTATGCAGATCATGGTAACGGGGTTAAAGAACTGCCTTAGGTCAGGCTCCCTAGAGGCAGAGCTTTGAGACGGCGATCCAGGGGCATGCGGTTTATTGATGGCTCTCAAGGGAGAGTGGGCAAGGAGAGCAGGACAGGCAGGGGAAGGAACCAAGCCAGGGCGTGACTCCTGTAAAGTCTAGCTTGGGCTTGTAGAGCAATCTCTCCTTGAGATGAATGGGCTGGCCTTCTGTACCCCTGCATCAGTCAGTCAGTGGTTGTGGCCACCTCAAGGAGAGAGGAAAGTTATAGCCTTTCGGGGGAGGCGGTGCCCATCTGTCAAGGGGTCTTGTTGGATAAAGGATGCAGCTCTGAAAAGATGCAGACACAGAAGCATATAAAGCGGAAGGGAAGGGCGCGTCAGCCTGGTGAAGGGGGCGTCAGCCTGGTGAAGGGGTCCTGGGCAGGCTGCAGTCGGTGTTTATGATAGTGGGTGTGTGTGTGTGTGATCTGGCAATTGGTGGATTCTTTTTATTTAAAAAGTTTTAATTTTTAAGTTGACATACACTAATTGTACACAATTATGAGGTACATAGTGATGTTTTGATACATATAATGAATAGTGATCAGATCAGGGTAATTAGCATATCCATAATCATAAACACATCATATCTTTGTGTTGGGAACACTCAATATCCGTCTTATAGCTACTTGAAATTATAGAATATATTCTTGTCTTTATAGTTACTTTTTTTTGTTTTTAAACATGTCGCTGAAGACCATTCTAAGTGCTATATGACACTAACACTTATTCCATCTATTAGGTGGTGCAAAAGTAATTGCTCATTTTGCCATTACTTTTAATAACAAAAACCACAATTACTTTGGCACCAACCGAATAACTAGCTGTAATTTTGTATTCTCCAACAAATCTCTCCCTATCCTTTCCTTCCCCTTCCCAGCTTCTAGTATCCTCTGTTCTGTGCCTGGCTTATTTCCACTTAACATTATATCCTCCAGTTCTATCCATGTTGCTATGAATGAGAGGATTTCATTTTTTTTTTTTTTTTGTGGCTGAATAGTACTCCATTGTGTATACATACCACGTTTTTAAAAACCCATTCATCTGTTGTTAGATACCCAGGTTGATTCCATGTCTTAGGTATTGTGGACAGCACTGCAATTAATCATGAGGGTGCAGCTGGTTGGTGGTTTCTATGATAATCTACTATTGAGGACACAACTGCCTTAATTATTCCCTTCTCTCCTCCTTAATCTTATTCATAGTTAAGAAAAATGGATTAAAGAAGAAACACAGAGAAAGAAGTCTCATGATTCAGCTAATTCTTCATTCATTTATTCATTTGCTCTCATTCACCCATTCATCCAGAAAACATTTATTCCATACCTCCTGTGTGCCAGGGACTATGCCATAAACACGTCCAAACCATGGTGGTGCTTCTGTGATTTCTTTCACTGGAAAAAATTAAAATTTATTTACAAAATGAACATTATCACAAGGATCCAGATCACTATACTGAGTCTTTCCATTTGTAGAATCACCCCCTCGACACACATCAACCCAACCATCCATCTAACTCACCTACCCATTCACCCACCCATTGCCCTATTTACCCTTCTACTCTCCCATTCACAATTCACCCATCTCTGCGTTTATCCACTTATCTGTTGTATTACCTGTTCATCTACCTAACTATCCACAAATGAACACCTCTGGCCTGCCTAGCAATATTCCTAGGCTCATTCGCTGATTTGTTCAATCAATCAATATTTGCTGAGTGTCTTCTAAGTGCCAAACACTTTTTAGGTGCTGGAGATAAAAGTGATGGATAAAAGTGGGGATAAAATGACAGACTGCCCTCATGAACTTTGCCATACATGTGTGAAAGCAGACATTAAACCAATACTTAGGAAGATAAAATGTGAGGCTTCTTCTCCCTCTCTCCTAATGTCCTTTTTCCTGAAATCCCTCTCTGTTTGTTGTGCTTGAAAGCATTGATTTTGGAAAATGTACAAAGCACTTAGCATAGAAAGATAACTGGGTTGGAGAAAAAGAACATCACTTCCGGAGATGAGTGGGATTTATGTCCACTAGATTCTAAAATCCTGGAGGGCACGAAGAGTGTATGTTTCAATTCCTCACTTTATCCTCAGAGCCCGTTACCCAGTAGGCACAAAACAAATTTTTGCTAAATGATAAAGAGGGCAGAATCACTCTGTCATTTTCTGAGTTTTGACTCATTGAAATGTTTAAGGAAAATCATTTTTAAAAAGAAGTTAAGGACCAGGCGCAGTGGTTCATGCCTGTAATCCCAGCACTTTGGGAGGCCAAGGCAGGAGGATCACTTGAAGTCAGGAGTTTGAGACCAGCCTGGCCAACATGGTGAAACCCAGACTCTACTAAAAAAATACAAAAATTAGCGGGCATAGTGGAGAGTGCCTGTAGTCCCAGCTACTCGGGAGGTTGAGGCAGGAGAATCGCTTGAATTCTCCCAGGAGACTTCTCACTCCTGGGAAAATTCAAGCCAGAGGTGGAGGCTGCAGTGAGCTGAGTTTGCACCACTGCACTTCAGCCTGGGCGACAGAGTGAGACTTGGTCTCAAAAAAAAAAAAAAAGAAATTGAGACCTTAAGTACTATTTTTGCAGATTCTTGGAGCTGTTCTAGCAGAGGCAGAAAATCATCCCAGGAAACAGAGAGGTTTTGTAGACTGAAGGATCCAGAATTGATAATTTAGAGTTGATTGAATTTTAAGGACTCCCAAAGAAATACGTACAAATACCAGGAAAAGATATAAGAAATACTAGTATATAGGAAACAAATACTAGGAAAAGAATATTCTCAACACCTCTAAGCTTGGCAGGATGGAGACAGTCAAACAATTCGGAGGATATTTTCTAACTATCTACAAATGAGCACCTACAACCTGCCTGACAACGTTTTAAAGCAAATATTAAATAAGTATTTGCTTTTAAAATGTATTTTCTTGTATTATAAGATGCATGTTGGCTGGGTGTAGTGGCTTATGCCTGTAATCCCAGCGCTTTGGGAGGCTGCGTTGGGAGGATCAGTTGAGCCCAGGAATTCAAGACCAGCTTAAGTGATGTAGTGAGACCTCCATCTCTACAAAAAATAAAAAAAATTAGCCTGGCACAGTGGTGCACCCCTGTAGTCCCAGCTATCTGGGAGGCTGAGGCAGGAGGATCGCTTGGTCCAGGGAGGACAAGGCTGCAGTGAGCTGTGATGGCACCATTGCACTCTAGCCTGGGAGACAGAGTGAGACCCTGTCTCAAGACAAACAAACAAACAAAAAACTGGTGTGTTGGTGGTGGAAGATTAAGAATGCCCAATGAGAGAGCCCTGTGTGGAAACCCATTCCCCTCTCCTCAGGGGACCACCTGTATTCTTCTACTCACTTTTTGGGAGAGCTCCCAAAGGAACCCTAAGCTGTTTCTATGGCCCTCTGACCGTCCTTTACTGAGAAGACACCAAAGGGAAACAAAAGGCAGTTTTATGACATGTCTGGAAGGTGGGGCGTTCAGTCCAGCAGCTTAGGACTCAACCGAGAGACACTGGGGCAGGTGGGCATATGTGGAGGTTATGAACAAATACAGACTCTAGCTTCAAGAAGATTCCCTCAGTCTTCCCAGGTAAGGTGATTGCTGGGACCCAGACAGCCCTCAGGTAGCACTGGGGAGGGTGGAGGTCAAAGAAACCTCACACCCCACACTTCCCAGTTGTTGAGTCTTTGGAAGCCTCTTAATTAAAGTCCCTGACATGCAGAAACAAGTTATCCATTGCTCCCTACCCAGAAATGATAACCTTGCTAATATTTTGATATAAGTTCTTTCAGTTATTTTTTCCTGTCTACATGTAGACAAACATACATAGAAAAGTATTTTTGGCAATAATGGAGTGTCATGTTTTTATTGTTTTGTAAACTGCTCTATTTAAAGGATTAATGTACACATATTTCTATCCTATTAAATATTACCAGTCAGTGGGTATCTGTTTACTCTCTAGTGTTATCATGGTACTTGCTAAGGAATTTTAAAGATTTTTTTTTTTTAAATTTTACTTTAAGTTCTGGGATACACGTACAGAATGTGCAGGTTTGTTACATAGGTATACATGTGCCATGGTGGTTTGCTGCACCCACCAATCCATCATCGAGGCTTTGAGCCCCACATGCATTAGGTATTTGTCTTAATGCTCTCCCTCCCTTTGTCCCCCAGCCCCCAGCAGGCCCCGGTGTGTGATGTCCCCCTCCCTGTGTCCATGTGTTCTCATTCTTCAACTTCCATTTATGAGTGAGAACATGGGGTGTTTGGTTTTCTGTTCCTTGTTAGTTTGCTGAGAATGATAGCTTCCAGCTTCATCCATGTCCCTGCAAAGGACATGAACTCTTTTTTATGGCTGCATAGTATTCCATGGTGTACATGTGCCATATTTTCTTTATCCAGCCTGTCATTCACAGGCATTTGGGTTGGCTCCAAGTTAAAGATGTGTTTATCAGAGTTCCTAGTGTTAAGGAGATTATAATTTAGCTAACAAGAGGACATACACATTTAAATTGGTATAGCAATAAAATAATAAAATAACACAAGACAGCATAATAAGAGTCTACATATTACAGCTTGGGGAAGATTGTTGTTAGGAATATAGACTCAGATGACTTGAAATTATCTCAGTGATATTGTTCACTATATGAGTTTGTCACACCATCATTTTTAGTCTGCTCATCGACAAAATAGGAATGAGGATAAAAATAATGCTGATATTGAGGGCTTATTTTGGGGATAAAATAATAACAATACTGATAGTTATAGTAATAGTGGCATTTGCATAGACCTTACCATGAGCTGGGAACTGTTCAAAGATTGTAACACATATTAACTAACCAAACACAGTGGCAGCCCCATGAATCAGGAGTCACAATTATCCCCATTTTACAAATGAGGCAGTGCAGGCACAGAGAAGCCAAGTAACCAGCTCAACGTTGTATAGCTAAGAAGTGTCAGGCTGGCTATAGCCAATAATAATTTAATTGTACATTTAAAAATAACTAAAAGGGTATAATTGAATTGTTTGTAATACAAAAGATAAATGCTTGAGGGGACAGATACTCCATTATCTATGATGTAATTATTATACATTGCATGCCTTTATCAAAACATCTCATGTACCCCATAAATATATGGACCTACTATGTAGCTGCAAACATTAAAAAAATTAAAAAGAAGTGGCGAAGATGAAATTTAAACCCAGGCAGCTTAGCTCTTGTCTGGACTATATATTTGAAAAAGGTTTTGAAACTGGAAAATGCTATGTAAGTGGGGTTATGATTTGTTATTGGTGTAAATGAAAAGTTCCAAACAAGGGGACTAAGCAGCAAGAGGGATGGGCTTCAGTGCAGGGGGCTCACTGCTGATGTGAGGGCTTGGGCAGGCTTCTGGGAATGGTGGACCTTAGAATGGGGGCAGGGAGCTTCTCCACTTGGAAATCAGCTTCCATCCTCATCTTTCATTAGATCAAGAGTGAAATCAGAAAGAATGTTCATTGCAAATGAAGAGACCCATTTCAAACTAGCTCAGGAAGAAAAGGAATTTATTGGCCATAGCTGGGAAGTCTGGAGGCATGGCTGGATCCAGAGATTCACCCAAGACCTGCCTCTTTCCTGCCATCTTTGGCTCTCTTCTCCTCTGTGGTGGCATCATTCTCGGGCTGGCCCCACCTGGTGGAAAGGATGACCTACAGCAGCTCCAGCCCAATAAAACCGCACAGTTGGAGACAATGATTTGTTCTGCAATGTCCTGGGAAGGCTTCTCACAGCCTGGCTGGAGGCACGTGCCCACTCTTGGGGAGGTGGAACCAGCCTCAAACAAACCACACAGGCTGAGTGGGCTTTCTGTAGAATAGGAGAGGAGTGAGTTCTCCAAAAAAAAAAAAAATGGGATGCTGGGCAGACAAAAATCATGTCTACTGCAGCCTTGCCACTGGCCCCTGAGCAGCATCAACCTGGGAGCTGTTAGAAATGAAGGTTTTGGTGCCCCATCCCCAGACCCACTGAGCCAGAATCTGCATTCTAAGAAGGTCCCAGGGGATTGCTGTGCATAATGAAGTCTAAGACATGTTGGCTGACAGAGGGCTTTTAGAAAGACATGTGTGGTTTGTCTGTCTCTCTCATTCTTATTCCACACACACTACGTACATGCTTAAACCGTTGGCTGCCATCATAAAAATGGTCCCAACCAGGAAATGTGCAAAAAGGCAGGACAGGTAAGAGCAGTACTACCCTTAGATTTTGGCAAGAACCCACAATGTAGAGGCCCCTTGCAATGGACTTCTTCTGGCCACATCCGTGCCACTGACTAGGGAGACCATCAGGCAGAGGACAGTGTTCACCTGGAGTCCGCCTCTGCTCTTCTAAACCTCACTTTGGGTACCTGTACCTGGGACTCAGGAATTCCCTGGGCAAATGACCCTGAACATGTTTCCAGGAACTGCACGGGATCTTCTCCAGCCATTTTACTCTGACCACCCAGATTTCAACCTGTCCTTAGGAGTAGGACATAAATGTGTGTACTTTTGGCCTGAAAGGTGGCCGAGGGGGCCTCACTTTCCTTCAAACACAATCCGTGCTCCTTTCACCTCTCCCCCTTTCTCTCACTGCTGTTGCATTACCTGTAAAGCACGCTGGATTTGGTGAAGGAAGGAAAAATGAATGATCCAAGAGAATGAGAACGTGGAAGCAGTTTGTGGAACTGAATGACCCTACCCTAGGTCTTCAATATCATAGCCTACTTCAGTACACATGTTTTTCTTTGTTCTTACAGAAAAATATCGCTTGCCTAGGTTTGTTCATTTAATACCTGCATGACTTTTTACTTTGGCACGGAATCTCCAATTAGTCTGTGTTAGAGAAAACAGCCAGAATAATTTTCTTTACCTACTTTCTATCTGGGACTTGGCTGAGGTGCATGTGCATGAGGCCACTCATGATGTGGGATGCAGCCCGAGGAGAAAAGAAGACGGATGGGCTGCCGGCCAGGGCCTGACTCGATATTAATCTATAATAGGTGTAGCAAATATTTCATGAACGTGGCTGGCTGTGCATGCCTCTTTGCAGTAAAACACTAGAGGTGCTTTATCAATGGTTCCCACTAGATGTCGCTGTCGTCACGTTTGTAAATCCTATAACCCTCCTTATCTTCCACCTTGGTTTAATTTCATTAGATTTAGAACATAAATATGTCAATTTTTAAGTTGGAGAACAGATTTTCCTATATCAATTCTTAGAATCCTTGCTTTATTTTTATGTTGTCACCGACTTCCCGTTACTTTTGTTGTTTCTCTTGCCCATTTTGAGCATACAAAGGTCTCTGTACACAATAGGTGCTTAGTAACATTTGAATTGAGTTGAAAAAGGGGGGTTTCTATGGATTTGAGAAGGATAGTGCCCTTCCATTTTAACTTTCTGGAGCATAATTTATTTATTTATTTTTTGGAGGCAGAGTCTCACTCTGTGGCCCAGGCTGGAGTGCAGTGGTGCCATCTCAACTTACTGCAGCCTTAACCTCTTGGGCTCAAGCAATCCTCCTGCCTTGGCCTCCCAAGTAGCTGGGCTACAGGCATACGCGACCATGCCTGGCTTTTTTTTTTTTTTGTGGAGACAGGGTTTCCCTATGTTGCCTAGGCTGGTCTCGAACTCCTGGGCTCAAGACATCCATCCACCTTGGCCTCCCAAAATGCTGGGATTACAGGCGTGAGCCACCACACTGCTGTTATTTTTAAAAAATGAAGTAAGTGCCTTGATTACAGGGTTTTAAGTAAGATCTTAAGCCAAACTCAGTGTGAATTCACATGGGGAAAAATCACTAGCCTCTAACAGAAAATTAGTATTTCCTTTGATTGTAAATGCAGGCAACAAACACAGTAACAGTAGTACCTGGGACTATGCTGCCAATAGAAATTTCAGACTTTTATATTATATTATTGTAAACAATCTTTTAAAAAAAACTTTTGTTTGAAGTTCAGGGACACATGTGCAGTTTCATTATATAGGTAAACTTGTGCCATGGGGGTTTGTTGTACAGATTATTTTGTCACCCAGGTATTAAGCCCACTATCCAATTGTTATTTTTCCTGATTCTCTCCCTCCTTCCACCCTCCACCCTCCAATATGCCCCAGTGTGTGTTGTTCCCCTCTATGTGTCCATATGTTCTCATCATTTAGCTCCCATTTATAAGTGAGAACATGTGGTATTTGGTTTTCTGTTCCTGCATTAATTTGTTAAGGGTAATGACCTCTACCTTCACCCATGTTCCTGCAAAGGACATGATCTCATTTGCTTTTATGGCTGCATAGTATTCCATGGTGTATATGTACCACGTTTTCTTTATTTTTATTTTGAGACGGAATCTCGCTCTGTCGCCCAGGCTGGAATGCAGTGGCGCGATCTTGGCTCACTGCAAGCTCCGCCTCCCGGGTTCACGCCATTCTCCTGCCTCAGCCTCCGGAGTAGCTGGGACTACAGGCGCCCGCCACCATGCCTGGCTAATTTTTTTTGTATTTTTAGTAGAGACCGGGTTTCGCTGTGTTAGTCAGGATGGTCTCGATCTCCTGACCTCATGATCCGCCCGTCTCGGCCTCCCAAAGTGCTGGGATTACAGGCGTGAGCCACCGCGCCCGGACCCTGCACCACGTTTTCTTTATCCAGTCTGTCACTGATGGGCATCTAGGTTGATTCCATGTCTTTGCTATTGTAAATTGTGCTGCAGTAAACATATGTGTGCATGTGTCTTTATAATAGAATGATTTATATTCCTTAGAATATATACCCAGTAATGGGATTGCTGGGTCAAATGGTATCTCTGTTTTTAGGTCTTGGAGAAATCACCACACTGTCTTCCACAATGGTTGAACAAATTTACACTCCCACCAATGGTGTAAAAGAGTTCCTTTTTCTCCGCAACCTCACCAGCATCTGTTATTTTTTGACTTTTTAATAATGGCCATTCTGACTGGTGTGAGATGGTTTCTCATTGTGGTTTTGATTTGCATTTCTTTAATGATCAGTGACCTGGACCTTTTTTTCATATGATTGCTGGCTGCATGAATGTCTTCTTTTGAGAAGTGTCTGTTCATGCCTTTTGCCCACTTCTTGATTTTTTTTTTGTAAGTTTAAGTTCTTTATAGATGCTGGATATCAGACCTTTATCAGATGCATAGTTTGCAAAAATTTTCTCCCATTCTGTAGATTGTCTGTTTACTCTGTTGATAGTTTCCTTTGATGTGCAGAAACTGTTTAGTTTAATTAGATCCCATTTGTCAATTTTTGCTTTGTTACAATAGCTTTTGGTGACTTCATCATGAAATCTTTGCCCATTCCTATGTCCTGAATGGTATTACCTAGGTCATCTTCCAGAGTTTTTATACTTTTGGGTTTTACATTTAAGTCTTTAATGCATCTTGACTTAATTTTTGTATATGTTGTAAGGAAGGTGTCCAGTTTCAGTTTTCTGCATATGGCTAGCTAGTTGCAGCACCATTTATTAAATAGGGAGTCCTTTCCCCATTGCTTGTTTTTGTCAGGGTTCTCAAAGATCAGATAGTTGTAGGTGTGTAGGCTTATTTCTGGGTTCTCTATTCTGTTCCATTGGTCTATGTGTCTGTTTTTGTACTAGTATCATGGTGCTTTGGTTACCGTCACCCTGTAGTGTAATTTGAAGTTGGGTAACGTGATGCCTCCAGCTTAGTTCTTTTTATTGCAGACAATCTTGAACATTTTATTGCAGACAATCTTGAATCTGTACATTCATCTCCACTTTGAAATTAAGGTAGTTACCAGTTCAATTATAGATCTTCTAGTATGTTAAAAAAGATGCACATGTATTACTACATCACACATTTGTTTTTAAAGTATTTTAATAACTGCATTAAAGTATTTTAGTAACTGTATTCAGTGGAATTAGTTTCATTTGGAGTCATATGTCTGTGATTTTATGCACTTGAAAGTGTTATCCTGAAAAAGGGTCCACAGGCTTCACCAAACTGACTGCAGGCAGAATAATGGCTACCCAAAGATGTCCCTGTCCTAATCCCAAGAAACCGTGAAATGTTAATGTTATGTCGCAAGGAGGAATTAGGGTTGCAGATAGAACTAAGGTGGCTAATTAGCTGACCTTAAGATGGAGAGATTAATCCTGGAGCATCAAAGTGTGACCAGTGTCACCACAAGGGTCTTTATAAGTGAAAGAGGGAGGCAAGAGAGTTGGGGTCAGAGTCAGAGAAGATGATGTGGTGATGGAAACAGAGATGGGAATAAAGTGATTGCTGGCTTTGAAGACAGAAGGCGGCCATAAGCCAGGGAGTGTGGCAGCCTCTGGAAGCTGGAAAAGGCAAGGAAACACCTGCTGATGCCTTGATTTTGGCCCCACAAGACTTGTTTGGACTTCTAGCCTCCAGAACTGCAAGATAGTAAATCTGTGTTGTTCTAAGCCATTGAATTTGTGATCATTTGTTATAGCAGCCATAGGAAACCCATGCATCAACAAAGAAGTCAGTGGCACAAAACAGTTAGAAACCCCCTGTGTTGAGCCTAAAGATCAGAGAAGAATAGTTCCATGTGTGGTGGAGGTAGGGGAGGCGGTGAATTAAGGATTTGCCTATTGCTGCATGACAAACTCCTCCAACATAGCAGCTCAGTAAACATTTATTATCTTATAGTTTCTGTGGGTCAGGAATTTTGGACTGGCTTTGCTGGCTGGCTGTGGTTCTGGGTGTCTCATGATGTTATAGTCACATTGTCAGCTGGGGCTGCCATTGTTGGAAGGCTGGACCAGGGCTGAAGAATCTACTTCCAAGTTGGCACACTCACATGGCTATGGGCAGGAGGCTTCTCGTCCATATTGGTGTTTGGCAGGAGGCCTTATTTCCTCATTACACGGGCCTCTTCTCAGGGTGGCTTGAGTGTCCTCACAACATGGCTTCCGGTTTCCTCCACCTCTTAAAGGAAGTAGTATTAAAGAAGCTATGGACATATTTTA
This sequence comes from Homo sapiens, assembly GCF_000001405.40. Lineage (NCBI taxonomy): Eukaryota > Metazoa > Chordata > Mammalia > Primates > Hominidae > Homo > Homo sapiens. Next base: position 6,146,476 of record NC_000020.11, read on the forward strand.
AAACTACTACACCATTTCCCTGTCTGTTTGCTCCTTTAAAAAAATTTCTGTGAGCAAATTGATACCAGGAGAAGAAACCAAGATCATTTGGATACAGAATGCAAATGATCGACAAGACTTATATCTAGAAATTTTCATTTTTATTTAATCTACTTAAAGCCTTAATTAAATAAAATTACTTAATAGTAATTGAAGTCTTAAAGCAAAGAAATAAAATTCTTCTTTGTGGAAATTCTGTCTTTACCCACTTGGCCTGGAACAGTTTTATTAAAAATAAACTTTTAATTTCAGAATATTTCATAGTTTCAGGTTAACAGAAAAGTTGCCAAGATAGTATAGAGAGATCTTGTATACTTCACACTTAGGTTCCCCTCATGTTAATGTCTTACATTACTATGGTACATTTGTGACAACGAGTGGACCAATATTGATATACTACTATTGACTAAAGTTTATACTTTATTTGGATTTCATTAATTTTTTTTTTTTTTCTCTAGACAGAGTCTTGCTCTGTCACCTGGGCTGGAGTGCAGTGGCATGATTTCAGCTCACTGCAACCTCTGCCTCCTGGGTTCAAGTGATTCTCCTCTCTTAGCCTCCCAAGTAGCTGGAATTACAGGCATGCACCACCAAGCCCAGCTAATTTTTGTATTTTTAGTAGAGATGGGGTTTCACCATGTTGAACTCCTAGCCTCAAGTGATCTGCCCACCTCTGCCTCCCAAAGTGTTGGGATTACCGACGTGAGCCACTGCACCTGGCCAGACTTCCTTAATTTTTACCCAATGTCAGAATAGTGCATTTTTAGAGTGGAGTTTTCTCCAGGTATCTCTGATATCTTAACAGTATCAGGGCTTTTTGAAAAAGCAACAAAACCAAGATGTGCTGTGGCATAGAGGACAACAAACTCTGGGTAGATTTGAATTTGAATCTTGCCTGTCATTGCCAGCTGCAGGTCCCTAATCAAGTTACTTCTCCTTCCTCACCTCAGTTTCCTCATCTGTAAAATGGAACTGAGGATACACGATGGGAAGACCAACAAATCTTTACAACAAAACTTCACAACAAATTTGTTGTGAAGATCAAACAAATTCATGAGTGTGAATCAGCTTGGATAATTTTTGACACATTAGCCGGTTGGGGATAGCTATTACTGTGTGGAACTCAGGGTTTGCTGAGATAATCTGGCCCAGAACAAGATCCTTCCTATACAATGTGGAAAGTGCAGAGTCCCCATCTGGGCCTGGGGATAATGAATAAGGAAGGCCTCCTGCAGAGGTAGCATGAATTGTATCTAGAAGAATGGGTGAGAGTTCGGTGGAGGAAGGGGCCCATGCAATGGGAAGAAGATATCTGGGAAGAGGGACCTGCCTGGCAGAGGCGATGGTGTGAAACAGCCTGGTAGCTTTGGAGCAGGCAGCTCAGTGGTGTGTGGTGGTTGTGATTTCTTTCTAACTCAGATGAGGTCTGTCTCTCTGGAGAGTGGTTATAAACTCTAGCACTGCCCTGACAGGGATCCTGGGGAGGTGGTTGTGGATGTTTAAAGTGTGCCTTTCACAGGATAATTCATCCTAGTGGATGGCCTGGTACCTCCGTGCCCAGTCGTGACCAGGTGTCCCTCTTACCTTGCTTATCCTGGCGGTATCTTGTGGCTGTTGTCTGACCTGTGTCCAGTTTATTTCCACCAAGACGCCGCACTCTAGGAGAGCTCTAGCTGGGAGGAGAATTCTGTTTGGGTGTGCCAGTCCTGTGAGACACAGGGCAGCACAGCACAACATATGCTCTAACAGAAGACATGTTTACTACTTACAGACGCCAGAGAGGAGGGCAGCAGGCCTCTCCAGGCCAATGGGAAGGGGAGCCAGCTGGGAACCACACCCTCAACCAGAGGGTGGGGAGCGGGCGAGGGAGAGGAATCTGAGGGCTGAAGCTTTTGTTGGGATCCAGGGCATTACCCAGGCAGGTTTCCCATGGGGAATTCTAATTGGTGGGTTTAGAGCAAGCAGGCATGATTTAGGCGGGGTCACCCTGCAGCTGAGAGGTGGTCACTGTGGTCATAAGCACGCGCTGTGGGGTCTTTGGGAAGAGTCAATTGGGTGGTATCCTGCTGTCCCCCAGGGAAGTGCTCACCAGGAGGTGGTTGCATAAGGCAGATATCTGGATCAACTGTACTGAGGAAGTGGGAAGAGAACTGGAGACTGTGTCAAGAGTGACAACACTGCTCCTTGTATGAGAAAGTTCAACTTATATTTACAATGGATATGGAGGCAACCAAAAATTATAAGAATTCACTACAGAGGTGGTGAGTGGCCAGGAGCTGGGTTGAGGGGGAGCTTACAGGCTGTGGTGTAATAAACCATCACAAAGGACTTTTAGGGCCCAGGTGCTGAAGGTGGCAGAGAGTGAAGGAGCCTGACTCCTCTGGCCCACCCCCCATTGTTTGGAGGAGATGCCTAATGAAGGACAATACTTGTTTGGGAATTTATATGAATGAGATAAACTTGTATTGCATTAAGGTGCTGCTATTTAGGAGTTGTTATGGCCGTGAGCCTACCCTGATACAGCCTGTATGGATTGATGATATGGCAGGGAAGAATATCAAACACAAATAGATTTTATGTTTTAAAATTCTGGCCTAAATTTGCAAAACCCAGGGAGATAACTTTGCCTGTCTATAATGAAGGTCTATAAAGCAAACTGCAGTTGCTGCTATGTAACAGAGATCACAGTGGGACGATTCTAAATCATTTCCAAAGCCTAGAAGCAGGCAGAAATGAAATGCGGAGGCTTTATGTTCAAGCTTAATGTACTTCATCACACAAAGATGAGACTTTAATTATGTTGTTTCCTTGGAAGAAAATTAAATTATAGAAAGAATCTACTTTTTCACAGGAGTGTAAATAAACTTAAGAAAGACCACATAAAGAGACAGACAAAAAAAGATTTTTATCAGACCAAGTGCCATCTTAATGGTCAATCCTGCATTAGAAGTGGAGAGACACAGGTGTTTTTGTTTCTTGTTTTTTTTTCCTCCTGAGACAGAGTTTCACTCTTGTTGCCCAGGCTGGAGTGCCGTGGCATGATCTCAGCTCACTGCAACCTCTACCTCCCTGGTTCAAGTGATTCTCCTGCCTCAACCTCCCAAGTAGCTGGGATTACAGGCATGTGCCACCATGCCTGACTAATTTTTTTTTGTATTTTTAGTAGAAATGGGGTTTTGCCATGTCAGCCAGGCTGGTCTCTAACTCCTGTCCTCAGGTGATCCACCTGCCTTGGCCTCCCAAAGTGCTGGGATTACAGATATGAGCCACCGTGCTGGGCCGAGAGACACAGTTTTATCAGGTATTTTTGAGCAGTCTTTCAAGAGAGCTTACTTGATTACTTATTTTCAAATTTTCAAATTTTTTCTCAGAGTAAGGAGACATTTTATTTGTATTTAGAAGTGTCTTAGATTAGCTTAATATTTGATGTGTTAATTTTAATCTTCCCTCTTTTTAATTAAAATATGCCTTTTCCTATCATGCTTTATCAATTTTACATATTTCCCCTACAATGAGGAAGCTCAGTGTAACCCATCATTTCCTATTTATAAACTTTTCAAAGCAGGAACCAAATTTCCTGAAAAAACACATCTATGAAACCTACAAAGACCATATATTACCTTTTTTATTGTATGTAATGGATCTTTTAGAATAACATATATAAAAATCAATGACTAGTGTGAAATTAGAACAAAATTCTTTTTAAAAAGTTGCTGCTTATCAGCTGTCCTATATTATGTTATTCCCAATCTTTCCTATGCAATTCAAAGTTTTAGTTTCTAATCTTATTGTATAACTTTTTATTTCCTTTCTGAAAATTGATCTTACAAAGAAGGGTTTCAACTAAGCATTCCCTTGAAAAATACTTGGATAAAATGTGTATTTCCTTTTTAGTATTTTAAACTGTCTGTAATAACTTTATGCTGTAGGAAAAACCTGGAAAACTAAATAATCAGGCATAATGTTGTTCCATGTCATTTTCTGGAAATTATGCCCACTCTGCCTTTCATTCTTTAAAAAAATCTAAATAGGGATTACAGATAACTTCAAATGAGTACAATACATGATATTTATGATGTGAAAGTCAAAATATAAAAAATAGAGACAGATCTCTAACATTTTATTTCGGAAATGAAGAATTCCAGTTCAGGACATACACACAGACTACGTGTCCTTCAGTATGTCTGAAAAACCAAGAGCACATTGGGAGTTTTATTACAAAGAGAAATGTTACATATTGTTTTGAAAGAAAACTCTTTTGCACTACAGAAGCTTTTGGGAGCTGGCAAGCTCTGATTGGTGAGTGTCTGAGTTCATTTAGTGTTGCTATAAAGGAATACCAGAGGCTGAGTAATTTATGAAGAAAAGAGGTTTATTTGGCTCACCGTTCTATAATCTGTACAAGAAGCATGACACTGGCATCTGCTCGACTTCTGGTGAAGCCTCAGGCTGCATTCACTCATGGCAAAAGGCAAAAGGGAGCTGCTGTGTGTAGAGATCAAATGGTGAGAGAGGAAGCAAGAGAGAGAGAGAGAGGGGAGGTGCCAGGCTCTTTTTAGCAACCAGCTCTCAAGGGGTCTGATAGTATGAGAATTCACTCACTCCCTCAAGCCCAGGAAGGGCGTTAATCTATTCATGAAGGATCTGCCCTCCTGACCTGAACACTTCTCATTAGGTTCCACCTCTGGCATTGGGGATCAAGTTTCAACATGAAGTTTGGAGGGGACAAATATCTAAACCACAGCAGTGAGTAGCAGTCTTAGAGTCATGGCAGATTGTTTTAGCAGCTACTAGGTAAAACTGGTCTTAGGGCTGTAGCAGACTGTTTGAGCAGCTGGCCTTGTAGAAAATTTAATTCTTGGAGCAGGTGCTATATCACCCAAATGCTTTTTTCCCCTGGCCACTCAACTCTGATTTAGTCAGGTATGACAAGGATGACCCAATTTGTATAATCCACTTTCATAATGAAGACAAACTGAAATGGGACATAGAGGGTGTTATTTTTTTTTTCTGCTTCAACTTTTACTTTAGAATTGGTACATGTGCAGGTTTGTTACAAAGGTATATTGTGTGATGCTGAAATTTGGGATAGGACTGAACCCATCACCCAGGGAGCACATACCCAATAGGTTGTTTTCAACCCTTGCCTCCCTTTCTTTCTCCCCACTCTGTAATTCCCAGTGTCTGCTGTTACCAACTTTATGTCCAGGTGTACCCAATGTTTAGCTCCCACTCATAAGTGAGATTATGTAGTATTTTGCTTTCTATTTCTGCATAGTTCACTTAGGATAATGGACTCCAGCTGCATCCATGTGGCTGCAAAGGACATTCATTTGTTCTTTTTTTATGACTGCATAGTACTCCATGGTGTACATACGCCACATTTTCTTTATTCAATCCGCTGTTGATGGGCCCCAGGGTTGATTCCACGTCTTTGCTATTCTGAACAGTGCTGCAATGAACATGCAAGTGCGTGTCTTTTTGGTAGAATGACTTGTTTTCTTTTGAATATATATCCAGTAATGGGATTGCTGGGTCAAATGATAGTTCTAAGTTCTTTGAGGAATCTCCAAACTGCTTTCCACAATGGCTGGACTAATTTGTATTCCTACCAACAGTGTATGAGTGTTCCCTTTTCTCCACAGCCTCACCAACATCTGTTATTTTTTGACTTTTTAGCAACAGCCATTCTGACTGGTATGAGTTGGTATCTCACTGTGGTTTCAATTTGCATTTTTCTGACAATTTGTGCTGATGAGCATTTGTTTCATATATTTGTTGGCTGCTTGTATGTCTTCTTTTAAGAAGTGTCTGCTCGTGTCTTTTGACCACTTTTTAATGGGGTTATTTGTTTTTTGTTTATTGATTTAAATTCCGTATAGATTCTTGATATTAGACCTTTGTTGGATGCATAATTTGTGAATATTTTCTCCTATTTTGTGGATTATCTGTTTAATTCCTTGATAATTTCTGTTGCTGTGAGGACGTTCTTTTGTTTAGTTAGGTCCCAATTATCAATTTTTGTTTTTGTTGTGATCACTTTTGAGGACTTAGCCATAAATTATTTCCCAAGGCTAATATTGAGAAGGGTATTTCCTAGATTTTCCTCTAGGGTTTTTTATAGTTTTAGGTCTTACATTTAAATCTTTAATTTATCTTGAGTTAATTTTTCTATGTGGTGATAAGTAGAGGTCCAGTTTTATTCTTCTGTATATGGCTAGCCAGTTATCCCAGCACAATTTACTGAATAAAGAGTCATTTCCCCATTGCTTATTTTTGTCCAGTTCATTGAAGATCTTGTGGTTGTAAGTGTGCAGCTTTATTTCTGGGTTCTCTGTTCTGTTTCATTGGTCTATGTGTCTGTTTTTATACCAGTACCATGTTGTTTTGGTTACTATAGCTGTGTTAGTCCATTTTCATGCTGCTTTAAGTTACCCAAGACTGGGTAATTTACAAACAAAGGAGGCTTAATTGACTCACCGTTCTACATGGCTGGAGAGGCCTCAGGAAACTTATGGCGGAAGGTGAAGGAGAGGCAAATACCTTCTTCACAAGGTGTCAGGAAGGAGAGGAGAGAGTGTGTGAAGAAGGAACTGTCAAACACTTGTAAAACCATCAGATCTAATGAGAACTCACTCACTGTCATGAGAATAGCATGGGGGAACCACCCAGATGATCCAGTCACCTCCCATCAGGTCTCTCCCTTGACACATGGGAATTGGGATTACAATTTGATGTGAGATTTTGGTGGGGACACAGCCAAACCGTATTAGTAGCCTTATAGTATAGTTTGAAGTCAGGTAATGTGATGCCTCTGGCTTTGTTCTTTTTGCTTAGAATTCCTTTGGCTATTCGGGCTCCTTTTTGGTTTCATATAAATTTTAGAATGGCTTTTTCTAATTCAGTGAAAAATAATGTTGGTAGTTTGATACAAATAGCATTAAAACTGTAAATTGCTTTAGGCAGTATGGCCATTTTAATAATACTGATTTTTCCAATCCATGAGCATGGAGCATTTTTCCATTTATTTGTGTCATCTCTGATTTTTTTTTTCAGCAGTGTTTTGTAGTTCCCCTTAAAGAGATGTTTCACCTCCTCGGTTAGTTGTATTTCTAGGTATTTCATATTTTGGTGGCTATTGTGAATGGAATTGTGTTCTTGATTTGGCACTCACCTAGAATGTTATTGGTGTATAGAAATGCTACTGATTTTTATTACATGTATTTTGTATCCTGAAACTTTACTGAAGTCACTTATTAGTTCTACGGGCCTTTTGGCAGAATCTTTAGGGTTTTCTAGGTATACAATCATATTGTCAGTGAAGAGAGTTCAACATCTTCTTTTCCTATTTAGATGCCTTTTATTTCTTTCTTCCGCTTGATTGCTCTGGCTAGGACTTCCAGTACTATGTTGAATAGGTATGGTGAGAGTGGGCATCCTTGACTTGTTCCAGTCCTCAAAGGAAATAGTTTCAGCTTTTGCTCATTCAGTATGATGTTGACTGTGGGTTTTTCATAGATGGCTCTTATTATTTTGAGGTATGTTTCTATGATGCCTAGTTTGTTGAGGGTTTTTGTTGTGAAGGGATATTGGCTTTTATTGAAAGCTTTTTCTGCATCTATTGAGATAATCATATAGTTTTTGTCTTTAATTCTGTTTATGTAGTGAATCACATTTATTGATTTGTGTATGTTGAACCCATCTTGTATCCCAAGAAGAAAGCATACTTGATGATGGTGAATTAACTTTCTGATGTGTTGCTGGATTCAGTTTGCTAGTATTTTGTTGAGGATTTTTGTGTCTATGTTCATCAGGGATATTCACCTGAGGTTTTCTTTTTTCATTGTGTCTCTTCCAGATTTTGTTATCAGGATTATGCTGGCTTTGTAGAATGAGCTATGGAGGAGTCTTTCCTTTTTGATTTTTTGGAATAGTTTCAGTAGGCTTGGTACCAGTTTTCTTTGTACATCTGGTAGAATTTGTAAATCCGTCTGGTCCAGGGCTATTTTTGGTTGGGAGACTTTTTATTTCTGATTCAGTTTTGGAACTCATTATTGGTCTGTTCAGGTTTTCACTTTCTTCCTGGTTCAATCTTGGGAGGTTGTATGTTTCCAGGGATTTATTCATTTCCTCCAGATTTTCTAATTTGTGTGCATAAATGTGTTCATAATAGTCTCTGAGGTTCTTTTGTATTTCTGTGGAGTTGGTTGTAATGTCACCTTTGTCATTTCTGAATGTGCTTGTTTGGATCTTCTCTCTCTTTTCCTTTTTTAATCTATCTATCTATCCATTTTGCTTATTCTTTCAAAGAGTCAAGTTTTGGTTTCATTGATCTTTTATATGGACTTTTGGGTCTCTTAGTTCTGCTGTGACTTTGCTTATTTCTTATCTTTGGCTGGTTTTGAGGATGATTTGATCTTATTTTTCTAGTTCCCCTAGATATGACGTTAGGTTGTTAATTTGACATTTTTCTGACTTGTTGATGTAGGCATTAGCACTATAAACTTTTAACACTGTTTTAGCTGTATCCCAAAGATTCTGGTATGTCATGTCTCTGTTTTCATTAGTTTTAAATAATTTTTACTTTTCTGACTTAATTTCATCCTTTACCCAAAAGTCATTCAGGAGCAAGTTGTCTAATTTCCATGTAATTGTATGGTTTTGAGAGATCTTCTTGGTATTGATTTGTATTTTTATTGCATTGTGGTCTGAGAATGGTTGGTATGGTTTTGATTTATTTTGAGTTCATTGAGACTTGCTTTATGGCCAAGCATATGGTTGATCTTAGAACACGTTCCATGTGCAGATGAGAAAAATGTGTCTTCTATGGTTGTTGGGTGGAGTATTCTGTAGGTGTTTATTAGGTCCAATTGATCAAATATTCAGTTTAAGTCCAGAATTTCTTCTAGTTTCCTGCCTTGATGATCTGTCTAATGTTGTTTGTGGAGTGTTGAAGCACGCCCCCCACCCCCACTATTATTGTGCAGCTATCTGAATTTTTTTATAAGTCAAGATGAACTTGTTTTATATGGGTGATCCAATGTTGAGCGAGTATATATTTAGAATAGTGATGTCTTCTTGCTGAATTGAACCCTTTGTTATTATGTAATGCCCTTCTTTGTTCTTCTTGAGTGTTGTTGGTTTAAAGTCTGTTTCTTTTTTTTTTTTTTTTGAGATGGAGTTTTGCTCTTGTTGCCTAGGCCTGGAGTGCAATGGCATGATCTCAGCTCACTGCAGCCTCCGCCTCCTGGGTTTAAGTGATTCTCTTGCCTCAGCCTTCCAAGTAGCTGGGATTACAGGTGTCCACCACCACACCTGGCTAAATTTTTGTATTTTTATTAGAGATGGGGTTTCACCATGTTGGCCAGGCTGGTCTCGAACTCCTGACCTCAGGTGATCCATACATCTTGGCTTCCCAAAGTGCTGGGACTACAGGCGTGAGGCACCGCAACTGGCCTAAAGTCTGTTTTATCTTTGATAAGAATAGTGAATCCTGCTCTTTTTGATTTCTATTTACATGATAAATCTTTCTCCACCCTTTTACTTTGAGCCTGTGGATGTTGTTATGTGTGAGGTGGGTCTCTTGAAGACAGCAGACAGTTGGTTCTTGTCTTTTTATCCAATTTGCCACTTTCTGCCTTTTAAGTGGGGCTGTTTAGATGGTTTATATTCAAGGTTAGTATTGATATGTGAGATTTTGATCCTGTCATCATGTTATTGGCTGGTTGTTTTGTAGACTTAATTGTGTAGTTGCCTTATAGTGTCTGTGGAATATGTGCCTAAATGTGTTTCTGGGTAGCAGGTATCATTCTTTCATTTTCATGTTTACTACTCCCTTAAAAATCTCTTGTCAGGCTGGTCTAGTAGTAACGAATTCCCTTAATAATGTTCCTTGTTCGAAAAGGGTTTGGCAGAATATAAAATTTTTGGTGGGAATTTCTTTTAAGGATGCTGAAAATAGTCTCACCAATCTCTTCTGGTTCGTAAGGTTTCTGCTTAGATGTCTGCTGCTAGCATGATGGGGTTCCTTTTTTAAGTAATTTGATACTTCTCTTTATCTGCCTTTAGGATTTTTTTTTTTTTTTGCATTTTCCTTGGTGAATCTGATGACTATGTGTCTTGGGGATGGTCATATTGCATGGTATCTCACAGGGATTCTCTGTTATTTATTGAATTTGCACATCAACCTGTCTAGTGAGATTGTGGAAATCTTTGTGAACTATATCCTCAAATATGTTTTCCAAGTTGCTTACTCTTTGTACTTCTCTCTCAAGAATGTCAGTGTGTTGTAGGTTTGGTCTCTTCACATAATCCCATATTTGTCAAAAGTTTTGTCATTTTTAACAATTCTTTTTCGTTTATTTTTGTCTGAGTTGATTTGAATAGCTGGTCTTTGAGCTCTGAGATTCTTTCCTTGTCTTTGTCTATTCTGCTGTTAATGCTTTCAACTGTATTACAAAATTCTTGTAGTGAATTTTTCAATTCCAGAAGTTCAGTTTGGTTTTATCTTAAAATTGCTATTTAGTCTTTCAGCTTTTTGACCATTTTGCTGGATTCCCTGGGTTCCTTGGATTGGGTTTCAACTTTCTCCTGACTCTTGATGAGTTTCCTTGCCATCCAGATTTTGAATTCTATTTCTGTCATTTCAGTCATTTCAATCTGGTTAAGAGCCATTGTTGGGGAATTAGTGTGCTTGTTTGGAGGTAAGGGGACACTCTGACTTTTTTAATTGTCAGAGTTCTTGCATTGATTCTTAGAAGGCTGGTGTTCCTTTTTCTTTTTGGATTTGCTGTTGTTGGATAGGGCATTTTGTTTATTTTTTTTATTGCCTTTGAGGTTTAACTGTGGTGTAAATTGAGTATAGTCAATTGGCTTAATTTCTGGGTGCTTTCAGAGGGCCAAGGCTCTGTACAGGACTTTTATTTGTGGCTGGATTCTTGTCCTAGGTTTCACAGCTGATGTATACTGGCAGAATATTTTTCGTGTTGTAATTTGGGCTGTGATCCAGTAGATGGTGCTTAAGAGTAATGGCTGGCAGATAGGTTGTTACTCAGTGGTAGGGCTACTTTGTATTTATGTGTGTTCACAACAGTGCTCTGTGGTGAGTGGTGGGAAGAGATGACTCCCTTGCCAGGTTCACTCCTGGGCCTTAGCGGAGCCCTCTCTGATCACTGGTATAGTGCATGCATTTCCTCTGTTACATGTTCCTGGCTGTGAGCCTCCCTTGGGCAGAGGTCATGGCTGGTAGATAGGCTACACCCCTCCCCAACTGGCCTTGTGGAGAGAGGCGTGCTCCACTCCCATGCTGGACCATAAACCTGCATCTCACTTGTCTCACAGATCTCAACTCAGCACTCCTGAGCTGTGTGTTGCAACCCTGGGGTGCTGGGACTGGGCCCGCAGCTCTATCCTCCAGCCCCTTGGGGTCTGGCATTGGCTGCTCTGGGGGATCAAAAGTGCTCCCAGGCCACTGTAAAAGCACTCAGGTGGGGCCACTGGCAAAGCACTCAGCTTAGGCAGTGGAGGCTGTGCTATGCACATGCTCCTGTGGGAGCAGCCAGGCAGGGGCCTTGGAAGGGGCTGGCAGGCAGGAGGCCTGCATAATAGATGCTCCCCTGTCCTGTGGGAAAGATGGTATTGCTGTCTCCTGGACCAGTGGTCAGCTGGAGTTAGAGCTACTCAGAAGAAGATGGCCCTAGGGGATGGACATCTATGGCCATATTCCACTGCAGCTTCCCTGTATGCATACCCCGCCTCTGGCTTAATGTTGGAGCTCTGTCTCTGCCTACTCTCTGGTAAGATCCCTTTGCCAATTCAAATGTCTGTGGAGGTTGTGGGGTCTCTTGTATGTAGGTTCCCAGAGGTCCACAGCAAGAGTGGGCTGCCCTGCCATCACTTCACTCACTCCTTCCCTAGGAGCTGTTCAGGGCCAGGAACTAGCTGTCATGCTCAGCAACCTTTTGCAGGGTTCTCAGCTTCCTTCCTCTTCAGCCTTGGTGTCTGCATTGTCTGTCTATCAACTCTCAGTGTTTTTTCTCTGAAGATGTGTTTGAAGTATGTTGGTTTACTCCATATTTTCGTCTCTCTTGGTGGGAGTGGCACTTCTTGGCTGCGTCTAGCCATCTTGTCCTGCATCCTTAAAAATTACTTACATATTTTTATTTAGAGTCTTCCAGTGAAGTTGACCCTCCAGAAAGATGGACCAAGGATATTCTGCTCTTTGCATCCTCCCTGCACAGAATTGAGTCTGTGCCTACTCCCGTTTCAGAAGCATGTATTAGTGGAGTACTGAGTTAATCTGGAAAACTTGCTGGTCTGTGAGAAATCAAACTTCAGGCAGACAAGTCAGGAAGCCAACATCTTGTGGGGATGTGGTGTCACTGTTACAGGGGAGAACAGCCACCCTGACCATCCTGGCTCCCCACAGGCAGGAGAGATTTAGGAACCCGTTGGGTGGCTTTTTAAACCATGGTTATTATCAGGACTTTGGTAGGGGCAGTCCCTGACTTACATCATTCACCGTATTTGAGGATGGTGAGGTGGTATTAAAATAGAGAGTAGTTTCAGTTCATGGCATCATTCTAAAACACTTACTGATCTACAGAGTTTGACTCAGAGATACCTGGTCAGGTGTATTGAGGTGTCCTCTCAGGAAAATGATGAGCACATCAATATATCCCTGTAAATAAATACCCAGGGTCTTTGTTTACCCAGCCCTCCCCACATAGCTCTTGTTTGGAGATGTGCAACTGAAAATATGGGATGGATTTTACTATAGAAATGATGTCTAAAATGGAAGTTACGTGTTGGTAAAAGATAATGCTTCAGGCTCAACTTCCAGTAAAGTGGATCTGCCACTGAAGAGGCTTTTGTAGAATAGCCTGGAGACCACTTTGTTTCTCACTTTCAGTATTCAATCAATTACATTAGATATTCAACATTTTATTATAAAATAGGCTTTTTGTTAGATGATTTTGCCCAACTTTAGGCTAATTTAAGTGTTCCGGGCACATTTAAGGTAGGCTAGGTTAAGCTATGATGTTCGGTGGGTTAGGTGTATTAGATGCATTTTTGACTTACAATATATTCAACTTATAACGAGTTTATTGGGAGAAAGCTTCATTGTAAGTTGAGGAGCACCTATATGTACGTGTGTGTGTGTGTGTGCATGTGTGTATGTGTGTATTTAAATTTATCTTATGTGGTATTCTCTGAGCTTCTTAGATCTGTGGTTTGGTGTCTGACATTCATTTTGGATAGTTCTTAGCCATTATTAATTTAAATTTCTTCTGCTCTATTCTTTAGTTTCCTTTTGGTATTCCAATTGCGTACATCTAATACTTTTGAAATTGTCTCGTAGTCCTTGGATGCCTTATATTTTTATTAATTTATTTTTAAGCCAGGTGCATTGGCACATGCCTGTAATACCATCACTTTGGGAGGCTGAGCCGGGCAGATCACTTCAGGTCACGAGTTTGAGACCAGACTGGCCAATATGGTGAAACCCCAACTCTACTAAAAATGCAAAAATTAGCTGGGCATGGTAGTACACACCTATAGTCCCAGCTATTTGGGAGGCTGAGGCAGGAGAATTACTTGAACCCTGGAGGTGGAGCTGGCAGTGAGCTGAGATTCACATCACTCCTCTCTAGCCTGGGTGACAAAGCAAGACTCCGTCTCAAAAAGAAATATATTATTTTTTCTTTTTTCTCTTTGCATTTCAGCTTGAGAAATTTATATTGACTTGTCTTCAAGTTCACTAATTTTTTCTTTGGCTCTGTGAGCCTACTGATGGTATTATCAAAGGCATCCTTCATTTTGATCACTGTGTTTTTTATATTTAGCACTTCCTTTTGACTTTTTCTTAAGAGTTTCGATCTTTCTGCTTACATTATCCATCTTGCATGTTGTTTGCTTTTTCCATTAGAGTCCTTAACATAGTAATCATAGTTATTTAAAATTCTTTATCTGATAATCCCAACATCTGTGTTTCATCTGAGTGTCATTCTCATGATGGCTTTGTCTCTTTAGACAAAGAGTTTTTCCCTTGTGTTTCTTTTGTGTTTTTCCTTGCCTTTGCATGCATTGTAATTTTTTTTGTTGTTGAAAGCTGGATATGTTGCATTTGGTAATAAGAACTGAAGTAAATCGTCTTTGGTGTGAGATTTTATGTCAATCTGGATAGGAGTTGGACTGTGCTTAATGTTTGTTGTAACTATAGGTACAAGAGGCTTCATGTTCTTCTGGTGTCTGTTTTTGTCTCTCCTCTTGGCTTTGGAGCTTCTCTGTTTATTCAGAGAGAGTCTGTGTCTTAAACTCTTTTCTCTGTCATCTACTCTTTTTATACTGGAAGCTTGTGGTGGTAGGTTGTGGGGAGGTAAAGTTTTCTATAGTGTTGTGGGTAAGTCTCTTTCAGCGGGTCTGTGTCTTTGGGCTGTGACCTTTGCAGGTGTTTCCGTCTCCCCCTGTGGTATTGTTCCTCCACCTGCCTACCCCATGGCTGCAGCATTACCGTTCCTGGAGCCCTGACCCCTTTTGGACATGTTTTTTTTTTTCCCCCTTAGGTGATACAGGAGCCAGAAGGCCAGAGTGGGAGGAATTTTCTTCTCTCATCTGGGATGAGGCTCTGGCAAAGTCCTTTGTTCCTGGAGAGTAGGTGCTTGTTATGCAGAAGGCTCTGAGTATATTTCTCCATCACTCAGAGCCATCACTCAGGGTCTCTTTCCCCCACCCCTAACCAGGACCACAAAAAGATCTTCCTCAGGTTCTCAAAAGGAGAACATGGTAGGGTTCCTGGAGGGCAAGTTCATGAAAGTGTGAGGCCTATCATGGGTGCAGCCCCAGAAGTTTCTCTCCCCTTGTGCTAGTCTACACTGTCTTCAGCAATTCATCCAAATTACCATTTAAATGTTCCCCTTAGTTTCTGCCTCCAGCGACTTCTGCTTCAGGTAAATAGATCTTAGTTTCTAAGATTTTAGTTTCAGAGATCTGTATTTCTCTGGATACATCAGTCTCTTCATATTTTGAGGTTTTCTCTGTGACCTGTATTCTGATGGGTCCAAGAAAAGCCTTGATTTGTACTTTGTCCAGCTTTGACTTATAAAGGAGGAAATGATGTATTCTAAACTCTTTACACATCAGGGCTGAAACTGGAGCCACATTTAGGTTTGTGAAGCACATCAGGGTAGATGTTTATGTCCTAGAATGAGGGTGGTCTAGTGGATCGCATGGGCATGACGTTAGAAGATTTAGATCTGGCTTGAGGGAACTGTCACTGACTCAGGAGACATCCTTATTTGTTAGATGGGAGTTGCTGAATCCAACACAGAGTGTCACGAAAGAACAAATGTGACAATGAGAAGTGTTACAAGGTCTTTCTGTCAGTGTTAAGACAGCTACACTTCACTTCCCTGGAACCAATGCCTCTGGTGTGGCAGAAAGAAGGCTTCAGCTTTCTGTGGCATTGGCTTTCTTGGCTATCCTTCCTGTCTTTTTTGACTTGCTCCCTTATCATGTAGTCAGCTCTACATTTATTAAAAAAGCAGTAGCCTGGTGCCAGGATTCTTTCAGGCTGCCTCTCTCTTTCTCTCTCTCTCTTTCTCCTTTCTTTCTTTCTTTCTTTCTTTCTTTCTTTCTTTCTTTCTTTCTTTCTTTCTTTCTTTCTTTCTTTCTTTTTCTTTCTTTCCTCTCTTTCTCTCTTTTTCTTTCTCTTACACACACACACACACACACACACACACACACACACACACTTCAGCGTTGGACTCTGGCCATCAGAAACATGCATTCTGTCAGTTTAAAAGGGAGTTGACAGGAATCATTGTGAAAACACACTTGTTCTGGAATCTGGGCTCATGGAATTTGCTCCTGCTGGACATTCCCTGGACCCGGAGTGATGCCAAAGTAAGGCAAGGCCACAAGCAGCCCCACTTTGCCTGACCTTTCCTCACTCCATGCCTGTGGGGCTTGGAGAGCAGCTGCGGAGGATTGGGTGACTTCCAAAGTCAGCTCTTGAGAGCAGGTTGCCAGGGAATTCTCTTGAACAGGGCCGTCCAAGGGATGGACACATTTCCTGGTCCTGAAGCAGAGAAATTAGAAGCAAAAATAGGCATGGAAAGATGCTCTGCCCAAAAGAAGTCCCCCCTCTCTTCCCCAGGAGTTGAATAACAGTTCTCTTTCATTTGGGTATATTTTACTTTTAAAAGCTTAATTTAGTCATTTTTAACAACAAAGTAGAATAGTTCAGAGATTTATAAAAACAGCAGCAATAACAACAAAAAACTTTGCTGCAGTGTTTGCTTTTCCTGCAGGCCCTCCTGGTGAGGCTGCTCTTTGAAGCACTTACACAGGTTCTCACAACTCTGCTTGGGCCACCTTCCCAAAAGCAATGGCCTTTTATGCCCCCAGGTGACCCATCGCCCCCACCTTCTTCATTCTCCTGATCTATGTCATTGTCCCACTTACTTCTCCTCAAGGCAGGAAAAGGGCTGTGGGATGAGCTCATTGATATCATTCAGGTGAGCAGCAGACTCCTTTGTGTCCAGGTGAGAACATGGGATGGCTCCTTCACGTGGTTTGGGAATAAGTGTAGACTCCTTTTCCACTTTTAGGGAACCCTTGCTCAGTTTCCTGGGAAGAGTTGGGATAAGAACAGATCCTAGGGATGCTGATAGAATCCATCTGCAGTTGGGGTCTTACCAGCTCAGGGCTTGTCCCAGATAAAGCCTCCGGGGAAGGAAGTGTGGTTCTTTTGCTCCCTCTGCTTTAAAGCACATGTCCTGAAAATTCCCATTGGCATCTTCTTCCTTTTCAGTCCCTTTGCCTCTCGTGGACATGAGTTGCCTGTGTGTATTTGTTTATGTGATTATTTGTTTAGGGCTTAGGGTTTGCCATTCTTTTGTGCTAGGCTCTAACAGGGGTCTTGATCACTAATCATTACTGTGTCTTTGGGGTCTAGTATACTCCCCAACACATAGTAAATTCCTGAATACCTCAGTGGCATTGTTTTAATTTAATCCTCACATAATTTAATAGAGCCTAGGAATAGCTCTACCACTATTCCCATTTTAGGGATGAAGAAATTAAGACTTTGAACAACTCACTCAAGTCCCCCAAATGAAATCTAGATCTGAGAGTTTGATTCTTAAGCCCATGTTCTCAATGGACACCGAAAAATCCTCCTACTAGGCAAGGGAGTGAGAGAGAAAATGAACACAATATATGATCATATGAGAACTCAACGGGAACAGAAAGACAAAATATACCTGAAGGACCAGGAAAAAGGAGGGCTTACAAATGTATTTCAGGCAAGAACTTTCTGGAAGACCCTTTCAAGTGGCAAGCACCTACTCTGAACCGCTTTTGGTCAGACTGCTCACGTTAATATTCATTTTGGTGAATCAGAGTTAGAAACTTTTGTCTTTTGGCAATCATTGGAATTTTGAAAAAAAAGTTCTATAAGTGGATCTAAAGATTTGATAGTTTATTTCAATGAAATTTTTTTTTGGCTAAAAATGTGGGTTAACGGTCTATTTCAAATGTATTTGACATTGCAGCCTTTAAGTGATACTTTACCAGCTAGAATTCAATTTGCTTACTTAGGGGAAGGGTAGGCACTATCATTTTTTGAGCATGCATTGTATGCCAGGCCCTTCACATTGAACCATGTTAGGACATCTTTGAAGACAGACTGTATCTCCTCCCTTGCTTGACTGTCTCCTACAGTGCTCAATAAGTGGCTGGGGTTGAGAGGTCCAGGAAAAATTCTGACTTCTACCTTTGGTAATCCCAGGCAAATCTTGTGATCTTTGCAGGGCACCATTTTCTTCTGAAATGAAGGAAGGTGGGGGAGGTAAGGTAGATGGATCTTTAAGGATTCTTCTGGGTTAAAAGTTCAGAAAGTCTGTGATTCCAGATGGGTGTTCTCGTCCTTCTTTCACAGTCCTTTCTCTTTAGGAATCATGGAAGGGCCAGAGAGGCAAAAGCACTGTTCAGCTAACACCTGCACAGCTTGGCTGACAGGTGGGCCCTGAGAATGAACAGCGTCTGTGTGTGCTGGCCAAGTGCTGAGCCTGCAGCCTGCAGCTGGCCTTCTTGGCTTCTGTCGACCCCTTGGCTGCCTGAGTCTCCGGCAACTGTTCAATCATTTGTTTTTTCCCCTCCGAAGAGACAGTCAAGGGTGCTGGGGGGCTTGTTGCTTTGGGAATTCTGCCACATTTACAAATGCCTTGTAACCCTTATTGAGTGACAGATTTATTTGACAATTTTTGATAAGTGGGTTGTTTGCGACTTGCTGACGGAGGGAATTATTTGTAATTCCAACTTGAAAGGCTGGCCATCTGAAAGCCATGACTAAGCGAGCACATGTATTAAAAGGTCATTCATAGTTGCTTAACATCTTGGCATATATCATCTTCTGATCTCTGTTTTTATTGTTTTGATCTCAAAAAGAAACTTTAAAAAATGTGAGATGTGGAAATTGGGAAGTGACAGAACTATTTATGGTCCCCATAAGCAGCTGACCTACTTCAGTGACAAATGTTATAAACATGTCGTGTTAAAAGCCCAATCTTTTGCTCTCAATTCTAATTACTTGGAATTCACTGAACTTGAGGGACCCTGGATTTTGTTTCCTGCTGGGATTTGGTAATGGCGACATTCTGACTTGGCAGAGTGAGAGCCACTCTGCTGAGTCACAGTCCTCTTAACTTCATCCAGGTCTCTACAAATCTAAGAACTAGAATTTGGTCACTTTGCAGGTGTCTGGAACTGTTCCCAGTGCCTATTGCTGAGTTAGGAGACTGACCATAAACTTTTTGCTTTAAAGAAATGCAAAGCATGTTCTTGTCTCCCACCAGGGTGCTGCTTCTGAAAATTGAAGTGTTTTGTGTCCTGTACTGTTAAAGGTTGGTTCTGAGGCTAGTTGATCAGCTGAGCTCTAAGCAGTTTATATGGATTTTTCTCATTTAATCCCCAACATACCCTTTGGAGATAATTGCTGTTACTGGTCCCATTTTCAGGTGAAGGCTGGTTAGCTAACTTGGCTTAAGTCATTCAGCAAGTAAACAATGGAGCCAAGATGTAAAGTCTGGGAGGTCTGATGCCAGGACTTGTATTATTATCCATGATTCATTCAAGTTAAAATGACTCTAGTTCTTGGCCACTTATACCAGGAAGCCACCTGGGAGATGTGTACAACTGGTCATGGTTAGGGAAGAGGGAACATGTGGTAAAGACCATCAGATGGAAGAAGGGAGCGACCCAGAGCAGCTTCTTCCAAGTTACTGGAAAACCAACCAACCTACCTACCAACCTAAAAAATCAGGGTGAACTCATCAAGATGTAGCATAATTTTTGTAGAAAAAGTACATTACTTTGGGGTTCAAAGACCCCCAAATAATATGAATATCTTGTTCCTAAAAAAAAATGGACAGAAGGAAAGAATAAGATTTCAGAGGTGGAAGCCAGGCTACAGACTAAGAACAAAGTTGTGGGCTAGGCTCATGCCTGTAATCACAGGACTTTGGGAGGCAAAGGTGGGCAGATCACTTGAGGTCAGGAGTTCAAGACGAGCCTGGCCAGTGTGGTGAAACCCCATTTCTACTAAAAATATAAAAATTATCCAGGCATGGTGGCAGGTGCATGGAATCCCAGCTACTAAGGATGCTGGAACCCGGATGCTGGAACCCGGGAGGGGGAGGCTGCAGTGAGCCGAGATTGTGCCACTGCACTCCAGCCTGGGTGACAGAGTAAGACTCTGTCTCAAAAAAAAAAAAAAAAAAAAAAGAACAAAGCTGTGAGGGGCCATTGACGTCAATGGCTGATTCTTCTCCCCTGAAAGACAGAAACTTCTATTGAAATATATTTTCAAAGGCCTCAGTCAAACAGTGCCTGAGAAGAGAAAAATGGAAAAGTAATGATGACAAATCAATTAGCACATCAATTCATGGGTTTACCAAAGACAGCTAAAGAATAATGTCACGTGTGTAAACTTGCTTTTTTTTTTTGAGATGGAGTCTCACGCTGTCGCCCGGGCTGGAGTGCAGTGGTGCTATCTTGGCTCACTGCAAGTTCCGCCTCCTGGGTTCACGCCATTCTCCTGCCTCAGCCTCCCAAGTAGCTGGGACTACAGGTGCCCACCACCACACCCGGCTAATTTTTTTTTGTATTTTTAGTAGAGACAGGGTTTCACCTTGTTAGCCAGGATGGTCTTGATCTCCTGATCTTGTGATCCACCTGCCTTGTGTCATCAAAAGGAATAATGCTTTTTGTAATTAAACCAGGTTTGTTTGTTGTCACAGAAAAAAGAGAAGAATTCTGCAATTTCTTTTGTTATTTTCACTCAATGATGTCTTGGATATTTGTTCAGGTTAGCACATATAGATGTACCTGGTTCCTTTTAACTGCTTTTTAATGTTCTACAATGTGGATATGTAGTTATTTTGTTACCTCTTTACCACTTGACCACTGGGGTTGTTTACTTCTTTGCTGGTACAACCAATGTTGCAAAGAACGTTCTTTTTTTTTTCTTTTTTTTTTTTTTCATTTTACTAAGTTCTGGGATACATGTGCAGAACGTGCAGGTTCGTCACATTGGTATACATGTGCCATGGTTGTTTGCTGCACCCATCAACCCATCATCCAGGTTTCAAGCCCTGTATGCATTAGGTATTTGTCCTAATGCTCTCCCTCCTCTTGTCCCCAACCCCCTGACAGGCCCCAGTGTGTGACATTCCCCTCCCTGTGTTCATGTGTTCTCATTGGCAAAGAACATTCTTAGTGCATGCGTCCAGGGGTGGCCGTTGCCCTTGGAGAGACCCTGCTGTGGGAACAGAGCTGATTGATGTTCCAGCTGCCACACCTCTGGATCCATTACAGCCAGGCCACATTTCTACCATGTTGCTCCCAGTGAGTGACAGCATGGCAGCAGTACTGTAACTGGGACTGATGTGTGGTTCCAGGGCAACTTTGGCTGAACTACTCCCCATCAACTTGGCTTAAATTTTCTCAGAATTGTTCTCTGCTCTGAAGCACATCCTACTTAATTTTTCCTTCTCTCTCTCATAGATATCAGATCTTTATCATAGCCTGAAGGGTCTTCCTGCTTTCTTCTGCTCCTTTTCCCTTTATTCTTCATAGACATTTCTCCCAATAAATCATTTGCATGTCCAGTCTTATCTTGGCACCTACTTCTCAGAGGACTTGCACTGAGCTACCCCCGAACATGTTGGTCAGCATTTCTCTAGAATGAAACTTGGAGAAATAAAGTTTTGGGGCCTTAAAGTATATAAGCATATCTGTCCACATATTTCCTTAACTTTACATATATATATATATATAAAAAAAAATATATATATAAATAAATATATGAAGTGCACATATCATTAATAAGCAGCTCAACAAATTTCACAAACTGAACATATCCATGAAGCCAGCACCCAGATTATGAAACAGAACATTATCAGCCTTTCAGAATCAGAAACCTCCTTATACCGCCTTCTGATTCAGGACACGCAGGCCTCCAAACTGGGGCTTAGCCTGGGAGGGTTCTTGGCTTTGCCCAGGAAAATATTCAAAGGTGAGCCAGTGGTGTTAGGCAGGAATCTTTTATTGAATGGCACTGCTCCTTGTGGAGCACAGATAACTCATAGGCAATGCACCCAGAGTCAGCAAGGTATGGGCTCTTGACAACTGCATTTATACCCACTTTTAATTATATGCAAATTAAGGAGTAGTTTAATGCAAATTGAAAATATGGGTAGAACTTTCTTGGAAAGGGGCAGTAACTTCCAGATTGTTGCCATGGAAAGATGTAACTCCCAGGTTGTTGCCATGGCATTTGTAAAGTGTCATGGTGCTGGTGGGAGTGTCCCATGCTAATGAACAATGAGGGAAGCTGGGGATTACTGTCATTGCCATCTGCTGATTTTGGCCAGTTTCTTCACATTATCCTGTCTGGACCAGATCCTCCTTTGGTCAACAGGGTTGTGACTAGAAAACAAGTCTCCTACCTCACTTCCAGTCATTTCCCACCTCCCCAAGGCTACATCTGACTCTTAACACCATAGATTAGTTTTGTCTGTTCTTGAGTAAGTTATACAATCATACAATGTGTTTTAAAATAATACAAGATGTATTCTTTAGTGCTGGCTTCTTTTGCTTAACATTATGCTTGTGAGATTAATTCATGTTCATTTATTATCATCGCTTGTAATATTCTGTTGTGTGATGTGACTAAACAACAGTTTATTCATTCATTTTTTACTGTTGTAATTTCCAGTTTTTGGCTTCTAAAAACAGTGCTGAAATGAACAATCTTGTACAAGTCTTGGTGAACATACGCATACATTTCTGTTGGATGTGTGCTTAGAAGTGGAATTGCAGGATGTGCTTTAAATCTAGCTGGGTATAGTGGCAAATGCCTGTAATCCTAGCTGCCTGGGAGGCTGAGGTGGGAGGATCGCTTGAGCCCAGGAGTTCAAGGCTGCAGTGAGCTATGATCATACCACTGCAATTCAGCCTGTGTGACAGAGGAAGACACTATCTCTTAAAAAATCAAAGCCTTTCTTGCCCAAAAGTTTAGTGTTAAATACCTGAAAACAAACCCAAACTACTGTATCAATCAGGGTCCAACCAAGAGATAGAAAGCACACAGTAATTTGAACCTGGAAAGTTTTGTATGAAAAATTATTAGCTATAACAGAGGGTTGATGTAATGAGGATTGTCTAGTAAAAAGTAAAGAGAACTGTAAAGAATGGAAGAAGCAGATATGAGAAGTAGCTTCTACCCATAGATAGCACTCCCAAGAATGTTCCTTCCTCCCCTCAGGGAGGATCCAACCTTATTGGGCAGACAAGGCCATGGCTTTCTGCATGGTGAGTAAGTTGGCTGAGATGTCATGACAGTGGAATTTACTGGAAATCATCCCTCTGAGATGCTGGGTGTCCACAGAGAGGTCCCTGGTAGTGTTGAGTGAACTGCCAGCCACTGGGTGCTGCTATTGCTACATGCTGAAGAAATCATTCACTTCAGAAGCCAGACACTGGAGCAGCCTCACACCATAGAAGCTGGGTAGGGGGAGAACATAAGACCTGAAAGAAAAAAACCCCTTCCTCTTATGTCCCCTTCTTTCCCATTCCCTCTACTGACAAGACTTAATATCATGCCAGCTGGTAAAGGAGAAATATTTTCAGGGTCTAGCTCAATTTTTGCAGAGCAGGCAATGAAAGATGAATTTAGAGCTGAGAGACCTCAAACTGTTAATTGGCACACTATTATCTATGATAAACAGATATACAATAGAAATAGTGAAATACCAATTCTGTTAAATATTGTCCATTGTCAATAAATATGCTACAGTGTGTTTTGAGGAATAGCTTTCTAGAAAGAATTGATGTTATTGTATGTGGTCCGGGCGTGGGATTTGGGATGCTGGACAAATGGTTATTATGACTTACTTCCAAAGGCCCTCTTTGCTTATTTGCTTCACCAGCTTTGAATTTCTTGGCAAATCCTAATGGAAACTCACCTATGTAATGGGCTTGAATTTGACTACACAAACTCAGATGTGCAAGACATGCATGTCATGTTATTTTTCAAGAATAAATTTAAATCTGTATCTGAGTCCTAATCTTTCTGAGCTGCTGGGATAGTACATCTCATTCATTGTTGGAGTTTCCTGTCTGCCCCCATCCCAAGTCAGGTATAAGCCTCAGAGCAGACATTTGCAGAGAATCCCATGGTATCCATTAACAAGCTCATGGTTTAAGTGCACATTATCTTTTAAGAGTGGA
This sequence comes from Homo sapiens, assembly GCF_000001405.40. Lineage (NCBI taxonomy): Eukaryota > Metazoa > Chordata > Mammalia > Primates > Hominidae > Homo > Homo sapiens. The sequence goes on from NC_000020.11 coordinate 6,170,308, forward strand.
CATCCGGCCGGGCGCGGTGGCTCACGCCTGTAATCCCAGCACTTTGGGAGGCCGAGGCGGGCGGATCACGAGGTCAGGAGATCGAGACCATCCCGGCTAAAACGGTGAAACCCCGTCTCTACTGAAAATACAAAAAATTAGCCGGGCGTAGTGGCGGGCGCCTGTAGTCCCAGCTACTTGGGAGGCTGAGGCAGGAGAATGGCGTGAACCCGGGAGGCGGAGCTTGCAGTGAGCCGAGATCCCGCCACTGCACTCCAGCCTGGGCGACAGAGCGAGACTCCGTCTCAAAAAAAAAAAAAAAAAAAAAAAAAAAAAAAAAAAAAAAGAGTGGACATCCTTTCTGTGGAAATGAGAATCTTTGTGGAACCCTGGTGCTTTGGTCCAGTTGTACTGGGGGCATCAAGTAGTCACTTCTCCTGAGATCCTGCCTCTAGCTTGAGGTGTGGCAAAGAAACACCAACTAATTTCTCATTCCAAAGCTTGGACAACCTCACTCCTTTTCTCTCTGCTTCTGCTATACTGTATCAAAGGCACCTGTTTCTCCCCCATTTCTCCAGTAACCTCAGGCTTTTAAAAACAGAGGGCAAACAGGGAGATGTTCTTATATACCTTTTTGTGTTGCGTCCAGAAAATACATCCTATCTGATTCTTCTATAAAGAAAACACAGTATCTAAATACGTTTTCCTAGCACAGTTATTTCTATGTTTAGTTCCTCTTACAGGATAGCAGATGTGATATGTGTAACCCCTTACTTCTTTAAGCTTCAGCAACATATCAAAAAAGATGAAGAGGTATGAAGAGCCATTATACCAGGCAGGGTTCTTAGTTGCTATATCAGTTAGTTTAGTTGCTAGGTAACAAATTACTCTAAAACTTAGTGGCTTTGCATAACAATCATTTATTATTCTTAAAAAATGTATCGACTAGCTGAGAGATTATTCTAGTTTAGCTGAAATCACTCCCATGCCTGAAGTCAGTTATGTTTCTGATGGCCATCTCTTCTGATTTGGGCTGGACTTTCTTTACGTGTTTGGAGTCAACTAGCTGTAGGCTGGTGTAGGTTGATCTTGGTTGAGCCAACAGGCTATCTTGCATATGGTCTCTCATCCCCAAGCAGGATAACTTTGGCTAGTTCTCATGGTAGGAGCAGGGACCCAAGAACGAGAGAAGTATGAAAGCCTCTTGAGGCCTAGGCTTGGAGCAAGCACACCACTACTTTCACCACATTCTACTGGACAAAGCAAGTCACAGGGTGAGGGAAAACAGACTCCCTCTCTTGACGGGAAGAGCTTCAAAATCATATTGCAAAGGGTATGGATTTAAGAATTAATTGGGGCCACCAGTGCAATCAATGTACCACAGCTGCCAGCAACAGAATTCACTCTGCCTAGTTCAAGCAGAAAAGGGTGTTTGCCTCCATATTTCCTTTTCTTTTTCTTTTCTTTTTTTTTGAGACAGAGTCTCACTCTGTTGCCCAGGCTGGAGTGCAGTGATGCAATCTTGGCTGACTGCAACCTCTGCCTCCCAGGTTCAAGTGATTCTCCTGCCTCAGCCTCCTGAGTAGCTGGGATTACAGGCGCCTGCCATTGTGCCTGGCCAATTTTGTATTTTTAGTAGAGATGGGGTTTCACTATGTTGGCCAGGCTTGTCTCCATATTTCTAAATATCAAGGATATACAGCTCCATCTTGATTTGTTTTTTTAGTTGTAGGTATTATCTGCTCATTTTCTACTGTGGAATATGATGATTTAAGCTGTCAAAGTCTCTCTCACATGCACTCTTTTATACACATGCACATGTGTGCACACAAACATTTTCCTCTCTTCTTCAAATACATATAATTTTTGGTTAGCTCAATAGTATTTATATTATTGATACCCAAGTGTTATGGGTTGAATTGTGTCTCTCTAAAACTCAGATGTTGAATTCCTAACCCTCAGTACTCACAATGTAACCTTCTTTGGAAATAGTCTTAACAGAGGCAATGAGGTTAAAATGAGGTCATTTGGGTGGACCCCAATCCAATATGACCAGTGTCCTTATGGAAATTAGACATTTTACGAAATTTAGAGACAGGCATGCACACAGGGTGAATGTCACATGAAGACTAAGGCAGAGATTGGAGTGATGCTTCTACAAGCCAAGGAATACCAAGGATTGCCAGCGAACATCAGAAGCCAGGAGAGAGGAATGGAACAGATTCTCTCTCATAGTCCTCAGAAGGGACCAGCCCTGCTGACACTTTAATATTAGACTTTTAGCCTCCAGGAATGTGAGACAAGATATTTTTGTTGTTTAAGCTACTCAATTTATGGTACTTTGTTATGGCAGTCCTAGCAAACTAATACATAGAGTCATATAGTATATGCTATTATTATGCTTCCTTTCTTAAACTGCTTTTTTTTTTGTTTTTCTGGATATTAATCATTCTTTCTCTCTCTGTCTCTTCCCTTACTTTTCTATAGATCTATTACCAATGCACCCCAAACTCCCACCTTAAGTGTATATCTCTTTTCAATTTATTAGAAAAAGATTAGATCACCATTCAATGTCCTCTTCTTCCCTTGGATCTGTCCCTTCTGGGGTTCTTTATCTTTGTGCTCCACCTTGAACCTTATTGATTTCTAGAACTGTCACTCGGCTGATGTTCTGGAATCTCCCCTTTTAAACTCATCTTGGGGATCCCCTTTCCCTGTCTCTTGTGTTGGCTCCCATGTTTTCATAATTCCATGTGTTTGTTTCTAAGAAAAAATAGAGCAAGGGAGGTAAATTCTTTGAAACGTTGAATATTTGAAATTGTCTTTAACTATACATTTGATTGATAGTTGTTTTTTGTGCATAATAAATTACCCCCCAAACTTGAAGTAGCTAAAAATAACAAGCATTTATTATTTTCTAGTTTCTGTGATCAGGAATCTGGCTGTGTTCTCTGGCTGAGAGTGTCACACAGGCTGCGATCAGAGACAGCAAGGGCTGCAGTCATCTCAATACTGGATTGAGGGAGGATCTGCTTCCATGCTCACTCGTGGCAGTTTTCAGGATTCCTTTCTTCATAGGTGGTTGGTATGAGGGCCTTAGTTTCTCACTGGCTGTTAGTTGGAGGTCTCTCTCCGTTCCTTGCCACATGGGCTCTCCATAGGGCAGTGAACAACATGGCAGCTGGCTTCCTTCGGAGTGAGCAAGTGAGAGAGAGAGGACCAGCAAGAGGAAACCAGAGCCTTTTTGTAGCCTAATCTCAGAAGTTACAGTCCAACACTTTTGCTGTCCCCAATTCATTAGTGAGTCACTAGATGTCACAATAAGCCTGGGCTGCCATACCAAAACACCACATACTGGGAGGCTTAAATAACAGATTGTATTTACTCAAAGTTCTGGAGGCTGGAAGTCCGAGATCCGGGTGCCAGCATGGTTGGGCTCTGGTCTGGGCTCTCTTCCTGGCTTGCAGACAGCTGCCTTCTTGGGAGACAATTCTCTAGTGTCTTTTATTATAGGGACTTAATCCTATCATATCAGGGTCTCTTATGACTTCATTTAAATGTAATTACTTTTTTCTTTTTTCTTTTTTTTTGGAGACTGAGTCTTGCCCTATCTCCCAGGCTGGAGTGCAATGGTGTGATCTTGGCTCACTGCAACCTCCGCCTCCCAGGCTCAAGCAACTCTCTTGCCTCAGCCTCCCGGGTAGCTAGGTCTACAGGCGTGCACGATCACACACAGCTATTTTTTGTATTTTTTAGTAGAGATGGGGTTTTGCTGTGTTGGCCAGGCTGGTCTTGAACTTGTGACCTCAGGTCATCCACCAGCCTCGGCCTCCCAAAGTGCTGGGATTATAGGCATGAACCATGGTGCCTGGCCTAAGCTTAATACTTCTTAATCCAAATATAGCCACACTAGGGGGTTAGAGCTTTAACATGTGAGTTTGTGGGGACACATTTCAGTCCATAGCACTAGGGTCCTGCCTATATTTCAAGGGAAAGAGATTATACATGGTCATGAATACCAGGAGGCAAAGAATAACGAAGGCCGTTTTAGAGGATGCCCACTGCAACCGGAGTATAAAATTCTAGATAGAAAAGCACTGTTTTTTAGAGTTCATTGTTGCTATTGATAAATCTAATGCCATGCTGTCTTTAATCTTTCAATATGACCAACTCTTTTTCTCTTTTGGAAATTTCTTTGTCCACAAAGTTCTGAAAATTTGTGGTGCTGCACCTTGGTGTGAGTCTATTTTCTTCCATTTTGCTTGATGCTCAGGGGACCTTTTCCATGTGGAAACCCATATCTCTCTGTTCTGGGAAATTTCCTGAATAATCAGGAAATATTTGATTATTTTTTTTCCCCTGAGCAGATAAATTTTCTTATTTTTTATCTACATTTTTCTGTCTTTTTGTTTGGTTTTCTGGGAAATTTCCTCATCTTTATTTTTCAAATACTTTATGGATTTTTAAAATTTCTGCTTAGTTTTAATTCTAAGATATCCTTTATTTTACTCCCAAGTGTTTCTTCTTATAGATTCCTGTCTATTATGGATGCTATAATACCTTCCCTTATTTATGAGAATTTTCAAGACAGTTCATAGAAAAACATTTTTTTTCCTGAACCCCATCCTACTTTGTCCATGTTTCCTCTGGTGTTCTCTTATTCTGTTAGTTTATTTTAATCTCATTTTCATGGTGGAAGTTTCCCTCAAAGGTGACTCTTGGTTGTATTGAGAGTGAGGCTAGGCATGGTAAGGATTGTTGATTGGTGGCCTTCACTGTGGGGTGATCTGATTGGGCTATTTTACTGAAAAATCTCTATATCTCAGTATCTCTAGGTTTGTTTTTTCTCATTAGTTGGTTTATTTTCTAAAAATTGTGTTGATTTTTTAAATCAATACATTTAAATCTGCTTTCTCCAGTAAATAAATTTCAATTCTCCTGCTGAAGAGGGTATAGACAGGCCTGCCTGTATCCTCGTTGCTGAGAAGGGAAGGGGAGCCAGGACTTTTACTCTTTTCTCTGTGGACTTTTTGCTCAACGACTCTGTTTTCAACATGGCACCTCACCTTTGGCTGTGCATGGGCTCTACCAACTTTATGCTCTTTAGAAACTGAACAACTAATTATCTGCTATAATCTCTTCTGTTTTCTTTGTCCCTTTGGATGTATGCCTTAGAAATCCTGTTACTACTGTTTTAGGGAGGTTCTGGCCAGCAGCCTCAACATCAGCCTCACTTTCCTGCTAGTAGCTACTTTGACCTCATGCAACCAGCTCTTCTGTAGGCCCATCTCGGTTTTCAGAAGTCTTAGGCTGGGATTTCCATTTTGTGTCAATTAGAGAAACCCTTTATGCTTAAGTTTAGCCAAACTGTACCTCATTATCTCTGCCTCTTGCTAAACCAATGCCAAAACAAGGATGAAAGTGGTTTGGGCATCTTCAGGTAGTGACTAGAACTAACCCTGGGGCCAAGTGAAACCCACCACAATCAACCATTTGCTGAAACAAGTAGATGACAAATGTTCTTAGGCAGTGTGATCTTTAAATCATAAACTACTCAGAAACAACTAAGAATCTCAGGACACAAAGTTAGTGTTTTCCAAAATTGTGTTTATCTTCAGATTCTTTTCCTGTAAGCAATGGAACTCATGTTATGAATAGCTATGTCTTATGCCATGGAGCCATTTCACTCTCTATAACCTGAAAGCCCTTATACAGCATCTAAACATGTAAGAGTCTGTGGAACCCAGGTATGAGATATTAACTGCCTCTCTTCTGAGACTTGCTCTGGAGCAGTATGAGAACAAAAAGTCCAAATTTTAGCCTCTCAGCTGCTCACTGCCTGCTGTCCCTGTAAATATATGTGAAAATGTTTGCCAGATCATTATGGTGGCTAATCAAATACCACCCTCCCTGTAATTTAATGATTTTCTGTATATATGTAATACTTCTTCTACATTGAAAAATGCTTTATTTTTGTTAATTTTATGGGTAATATATACTTCTTGGAAACATTAAAACAACATACAAACCACAGTTTTCTGAGGCTTACTCACTTCCCTGGGATGATACCCTGGGAAACTTTGTAAATGTACAAAGGCCAATCCTCTTCTACTTCAACCAGCCAGGGCTTCTGTGCACTTTATCAGCTCTCCAGATGATTCTGATGTACATCACTGTGTGGGAGCCACAGCTTTAGCTCACTGACTTGTATTCTGGTTCTATTTGCAAGACTCTTTCTCCAGGGAGGACACAGCAGGCTATAAGTACAGTTGATTCTTCTAACCCCCTTTATGCTGATTTCAGCCCCAGTAAATCATCTTCTGATTATGATTCAGCTCCCACATATATCCAGACAGGTAAAGAATGCAATGATCCTATGGATTCATGCCTTTCCTTTCCCATGACAATGATTTCTCATTGTCAACTGAGAAGATGTCCTTGAGCTTGATTAATGTGAGTCTATGCCATTGGCCATTAGAATGAGAATCCCATTAGAATCCATTAGAATCACCTGGGAAAGCTTCTAAACACCCAAATGGAAGGCCACCCCCAGATCAATTAAATGAGAATCTCTGATGATGTGATTCAGATGCCATACTTTTTGGAGTTCCCCAAGTGATTCCCAGGTGAATCCATTCCCAGTGTGCTGACAAAACCCGGTACTGAGACTGAAGGGGCTGAGGGCCAGGCTTCACTTTAGGATACTCACAAAGGCAATCCGTGTGTCCCTCTGAGACCTTTGGATGGACATCCAGCTGGCCTTTTCTGGAGAGGAACAACATACTACCCAAATAATCCTATTGACCAGTCCCCAGAAAGGCTCTGTACAATTTTATGCAATGTTAACCCAAACCAGCTGTATTGGTCAGGGTTCTCTAGAGGGACAGAACTAATGAAATATATATATATGAAGGGGAGTTTATTAAGAATTAACTCGCACAATCACAAGGTCCCACAATAGGCCATCTATAAGCTGAGAAGCAAGGAGCGTCAGTCTGAGTCCCAAAACTGAAGAACTTGGAGTCCAATATTTGAGGGCAGGAAGCATCCAGCACGAGAGAAAGATGTAGGCTGGGAGGCTTGGCCAGTCTAGTCTTTTCATGTTTTTCTGCTTGCTTTATATTCTAGCTATGCTGGCAGCTGATTAGATGGTGCCTACCCAGATTAAGGGTGGATCTGCTTTTCCCAGCCCACTGACTCAAATGTTAATCTCCTTTGGCAACACCCTCACAGACACACCCAGGATCAATACTTTTCATCCTTCAATCCAATCAAGTTGACACTCAGTGTTAACCATCACACCAGCTTAGCTAAACTAAAATTTGAACACCTTCTCTGTGAGATTTGCAAGCAACTCTGGGGTTTACTTTCCCAAGGAACTGGGCTGAGGGGGATTGGTGGGTGGGCTAGAGTCAGAGCATCCTCAGGAGGAAGGTTCCGAAGGATAGGAGATGAGAGAGATGGGAAAAAGGGCACTTGAGTTCTTGCATTACAGACCCTCTTTTTTCCTAGAAGGGTACTCCTGAGGCACTATTCCCATCCTAAAGACTAGCTGACTATTCTTCAGTTATTTGCTCCAATCCAAATTGCAAAGGTGAAAATGAGAGTTTTAACTGAACCTCAGAACTTGTTTCCAAGTAAGAAATTATCCATTCCAGCCACTTCTGACACGTCCATGTCAGCACTTCCTGTGGTTCCTGCCCCCTACTCTTTTGGTTAGTGCTATGGCTGCTGGGCTGTTGGTTTTAACCCTTCATATGCTACTGATGTCAAAGTCTAATAGGAGAGAATTTCTCAGTGTCCTTGCAGAACAGTAAAAGATGAACAGCTTCCCCAAAGGAGGCTTCCTAGAAACATTAATTTATGGGACATAAAACAACCAACTAGAATACAGAGACACAGAAGGAGGATGGAGAAGAGAGGGAGAACAAGAAATAAAGGGGCTATCTAGATTTTAAAAGTCAATAATTAGTCTGCTTTTAGCATTACTAAGATCAGATTGGGCCAGAAGGTGAGCAATCTCCTGAAATATAAGGAAAAATATCAGGATATAATTTCTGTAGATGAAATTCAACCAAGAGACTGGACTTAGTGCTTCTGATCCTAAACAAATCCTGAAAAACAGTCTCAAAAGGCAGGATTGATGGGATAAAATTGAGCACATATGAAATGTTCTGAGTGCTAGGACCTGAACACCTTTCTGAAGTTTATCTTTTAAGATTTCTTTCTTCTTGTGCCTTACTTTGAAATGACTCTACCTAAAATGAGAACAATGGCATTCTAAGATTACTCCTCAGTGTTTACAAGCCTTTTGACACATTAGGGTTTCAGATTTAGGCTCTGTGGGCCTTTTTCTCCTTTGGTAAGGAAATGTGAAGTGTAGGTGAACCCATGAAGCAAGTTCGTCCTTTGTGCTTCATGGAAAAGTGTTTTCCAGCAGAGGGCATCCTTATGCAACGAATTTCTCTACCCTCAGAATTATTTGCGGATATTGAAGTGCATTAGGGAACAGATTTTGCTTTTAAAGGCTTTGCAGTTCAGTTTGTTTTTGGCAAGTCATTTATACATAAGGTGCTAAAGTGTTAAGAGGACTTGTTCCAATTTTTTTTAAAGTTGGGTAAGTGATAAGTTGTGCTATTAATGATGATGGTAGCAGATCATAAAATGGTTTAACTAAATTTCTGCTGTTTTATTTACTCATAAATTCAACAAATACTGATTGAGTGCCTTCTGTGTGCAAGACACAGGGGTAGAAGTGGGTATATGAAAGTGAGCCTGAATCAAACCTTCCTGGAAAAAAGCTTACTATATATAAAAGGGATAGGACACAAATGCAGGAAAATAAAATACAAGACACTCTCTCTCTCTCTCTCTCTCTCTCTCTCTCTCTCTCTCTCTATATATATATATATATATATATATATATATATATATATATATATATATATATAGTGTGTGTGTGTGTGTATTCTTATTAGAAGCACTGACTTCTCTAATATTAATTGTTAGTAGGCTTTCACATTTTTTCCATTTCCTGCTAGAGGGCAGCTAGAATATTCAAGTTGTTTTCGAATGTTTTAACTTCTGCCAAAATTGATTTGTTTAGGCTTCCTTTCTTCCTATTTTCAAACTCCATCTATATTTTAGGAGGAAATTAATCTGTACATTGCAATTCTGCCTGCAATTTTAAAAATAGATTATTTGGAAAGACTTGTTCATTGTCTCGGTATTCTCTAAACTCTTTCCATTTCTAGTGAAAAGGAGGAATTATTGTAACTTGGCCCTCTTCAACCCAGAGGAAATCTGGAGTGAAATCTGAAAGCGGCAGACTTGCTTAACCTTTTCCTATCAGATTGCTGGCAGTGGAAAGTTTGTTAAAAGTGTGTGGATTGAGTGAAACACCATGGGTCTCAGACTGGGCCACAGGTTCTGGGAGATGCATCTTGACCTCACTTCAGCCTGACACCACTGGATAAAAGCAAGCAACATTCCAAGTTCAGTTGCTTTTGTCCCAAGGATGAGACCACTCAGACCCACAAGGCTCTGTCAGAACCAGCAGTTTCAGGAGCTTGTTAGCTTGACTGTGTGGCTTGCAGCACCTTCCAGAGAATGCAGCAGGGCAGGTATGAATATGTGATGCTTTTCATCTTGGGTTCCATGTCCGGTAAACGCTCTAGAAGCTGTATCTGAAACTCAGGCTGCACCATGGGAGCTAACTGCTGGACCTTAGAACATAGTAGTAGATTTGGGCTCCTTCAGAGGAAACACAGATATTTTGCTCAGTGGCCTGGGTTGACCACACTTTCTGTAATTGTCCTGCTACAGGAGAGACCAGAATGGCTCAGTGTGCCAAGCATCTTGAGGAGAGTGCCATTCTAGAAGCCGGTTAAGTTTTTCAGTCCTCAGGTCTATTTTCAGTGAGAAAATCTATGGCAGATACTGTTAGTGCTCCACCCAGATCCCTTCTACTGGACTGGGGCACACATCCTCATATGTACAAGTTGATGCCTAGTGACACATAGTTGCTTCTTTCTCCAGAGAATTGTCCCCCATTGAAGGAAGTTACTTCATCTTTTTTTTTTGGGCAGAAACCAAAATTGGGGCATCCAGCAATTCAGACAATGACAGACTGAAAATGGGATACAAAATGTTGGTCCTTTGCCCAAAGGTAGAAACAATTTTGTGATATTACGCACACTCCAAGGTTCCCCATGAAATCAGGCTGAAAGTAAAGTCCAGCTGAGACTACCTCCTACTTGCGTAACACGATTCCTACTCCATCCTGCTTTTCCCACTCCCCTTTCCCTGAGAGCCCACCTGCAATAGATCATGTCTCAGACTGCTTCCAGAAACCTTACCCGAGACGGCACCTCTTTTCACTTGGTAGTGCAAATAGTCCTCTTTTCTTTACATAATGTGTTTGTTGCCTATCAGCAGTTGCCACTTCCTCTTTTTTTAAGAGAACACACTTTATTCATGTATCAGGTGGCTATGGGCTTCAGTCCATTCTGGTCCCCAAGGGTGAATCTTGTTAAATTCAAGCCAATAGTGATAGTTTTATTCTCATTTCTAGTGAGTGATTTAAGAATAGAATGTGACCCAATTCTTGTCAATAGCACTGAAAAGAAGTCAGCTGGAGAGCATCTGGACATGTTTTCTTTGATCTTAAAAGGGGAGCAGAGAAAAAGATATGCTTATATTCCTATCTCTGGATATTGCCAAGTGGGAATGTGTTAGCAGAGCTTCAGCAGCCATTTTGTGACTATGAGGGAAATCCAGGATAATCTCAGACTTTGAGGGTTATGATGTGATTGAGCCTTGAATTAACTGATCCTGCAGCTGCTCCACTTTAGTTATGTAAAATAGTGAAAGTTGTATTTGTTTAAACAAATTAGTTGAGTCTGTTGCTATTTGTAAATGACAGTGTACTAGATATCTGCAAAGCTAGCCTCAAGAAAAGTTACTTTCTAAAGGCCAAGTGATATTGAGAATATAGAACAGAAAAAAACAATTTATGTTCTCCATTCTATTTTCCTATCATAAAGAGAAGAATGGGCTGGTAAGAATTTGTATGACATTTTGTTTTGGCTTATATAGCTGGTTTATTGAATGGGCTTAACTTGATGGAAGCAAAACAGGAAATAGGCTTATTTTCTATCCATTACTGACCTCAAAATTCTCTGTTGCATTTGCCTTGCCTCTCCTTCTCCTAATGACAGCTTTTTGTTCACTTTTAGCTGTAAGAACAATCTCATTTTTGTATTATAAAATGTAGTCTCAGCTACACCAATACGTTCAATCTTGCATTCAGTTAAAAATGTTATTTTTCCATAGCTCAGGCCTCAAGACTCATGGCTCAGGGTCTGGAAAAGGGGAAGGAATGGTGGTTGATTCTTTTAATATCCCATTCCTTATCCCATTTCCTGATTTTTTTTTTTTTTTTTTTTAAGTGGGTGTTCAGTGTAGTTCTCTTACCCGTTGGCCACCATTTTCACTGTGATGGCTGGTGCCCAAATGCTGACTCTTCTGTGGGACACATTTATGGGTTCGTTGGGTACCTTCCCTTGGGAACTCCTGTGGTTTGCATACGTGAGGCTAGTGATTCACCCTCTGCTTGATCTTCTGGAACCCCCTCCTTAGCTCCACTGGGAGGCACGTGGATGGCTAAAATTCCCCGTCTCCTTTGAGTTAGTCGTGGCAATGTGACTTTCTGAAATATGAATAATAAACATACATTTCACTTCTGGATGGAAGTATTTAATTGCCAGCACTTCACTCCCCAGCCCATCTTTTTCCTTAATGGCAAACTGCAAAGACTTGCTTTCGAAATATTGGAGTTGTAAGAAAACAGTCCCTGAGTGACATGGCGCAGAGCCTTCCACAAACCTACCTTAGACGTGCTGTCTAAGCAAAACCCCAAATCTTTATTTTAAGCCACTGAGATTTTGAGGCTGTTTGTTACTATAGATTTACCTTGCCCATCTTGACTGATACGGTTCTTTGCTTTGGGATTTACACTGAAATTTTGAGACATGAGAAAAAGTCTCATTGAGCATGCTGTCACTCCTATAACTGAAGGATTTTTTTTTTTTTTGGAATATTTTTATATACTTCCTGAGAGTACCTATGTCTTAATCTCATAATGCTAAAATAACTTTAATAAGCTAATTACTTTTAGCTGTTCTACAAAGAAATCCCATGAGAAAACCTCTGAGCATTTATTTCATGGGGGAAGACCATCATTTAGAAATCTGGTCTCATGTGGTCTACCTGTTCAGCTTTGACTGCCCCTCTCTCCAGCCTATAACCTCCAGACCGAGAAAATCTCAGCATCCACTTGTTCATTTTTGCCTCTGGAAATTTATCCTAACATTTATCTTCCTTTCTTGGAGTTTTCTCTTTCTTTTTGGTCTCACCTCTTCCATGAATTTAAGTCGACTAACCAAATGGTGATATTTATTCAGCATTGTCTTAGACTGAATTCCTCTAGACAGACTCCAAAACAAGGATTCCAGAGCAGGTATTTATTTGAGAGGTGATTTTGGGAAATGCCAACAAAAATGTAGAGAGTAAGAATGAGCTGGGAAGAGGGCCAATACAGGGTTCATTAATGAGCTCAAGACAACTAGGACTCAAATCTGGTGGGGACCTCTCAGAGACTGTGTAGAACATGCACCTCAGGGTTGTTCTGTCAAAGAGACAAGGGAGCTTCGGGTATTAATCCACCAGTCCATGACTATAATTGGCTGAGGGATGTTCCCAGGGGCATTTATTCCATAGTTCTTTTTTTTTTTTCTGCCCAGGCAAGCACAATCTAGTCACAAGACAAAGCCCCCGAGGCAGGTCCACAGGCACTTATAGTAGAAAGTCTGGATCTGAAGGAGAATGGTGAGTTCAGAGAACCCAGCAGCATCTACTACCAGCCATGTCTTGAGTTCAGAGTGCTGGTTCTTTGCCTCAAGTACTTAAGATTGAGGCAGGCAGGCAGGCACCTGTTTACCATACCATAAGGCAGGATATTATATGTTAACAGAATGACTAAAAATAAACAACATAATAAGCATGAAGGAAGGAGAAATTAATTTTACTTTGAGAAAGCAGAGAAGATGGATTTTCATTTGGCTTTAAAGGGTGGAAAGGATTCAGTAAGAGGAGTTTCTTTCAAGTCAGGGACTAATGTTAGCACAGGCTTGGCTGCTGTAGCATCAGTTTATGTTTTGGGAAAATCGTAAGCAGTGGGTTTGACTGGACAAAAAGTGGTTAAGATGGAATAGGAAATTGAGGTGGAAGGAATGTAGGGCCAGATGATGAAGGGCCAAGAGTTCCATTTGTGATTTTTTTTTGATAGAAAGTACAACATTTGTAAAACTTGCAGGGAGATTTAAACTCTTGCCTCTGAATCCTTCAGACCATGCCAGTTCCTTCTATTTGTCTCCTCCACTTCCTCCTCTTAGAGCTCTGGGTTTGCCTTTTCTGGTCCCTCTATCTGAATATTTCTTTCTAAATTCGTTTAGCCGATTCCCCCTTAGCTCATTCCAGGTCCAGTGTTCTGGGTGTTGGTCTTTTGCTGGCTTTGCCTCCCAGAGTTGGAGGCAGGGGTGGCCATCTTGGATCTGGCAGGCCAAGGGTCCCATTGTCTTTCAGCCTGCACTTGGGTTTCGTCTTCTTCCTGCTCCAAAATGCTCTGTCCTGACATTCTCATTTCCTTTTCCTGTCATGCCATAGCATGACATAGTCCTTTGATGCCATAGCATGTATTAAACTCTTGTTTAATAATGAGAGTGTATAAGTGATTTTAAAGAACACTTTTGATTCTGTTGTAGCTACAGACTTAGGACAAAATCTGCTTATACCTTCTGGAATATGTTCTTAGTCACAGAAAATTATGTTATTCTCTCATTTTTGATATGGGAAATGTTTCCTTATCCCCCTTGCAGTGCGTGCCATGGGGGTGTGGCTCACTTATTCAGTGCCCTGCTGCTCAAACCTCTAGGGGGAGCATGCAGACGGATGGGTTGTGGGGCGTGTGGGCTCTGACCCCCGGGCAGCATCTAGGGGTGATATTTACAGCTCCTGAAGCCCCAGTGGGCGTGTGTTACAGGGTGCTCTTTTAATTTTGCTCTCTGTAGGGGGCTTGTGTTAACTAGCTCAGTGAGACCCTCTGTCTTATCTCAAGAACAGAGGGCTTTCTGTATCCCGGGGTTCTTGCCTTAGTGTACCAGAAAAATCAGATCACATGTGAGTTTGGAGAATGAGTGCAAGGTTTTATTGAGTGGAAGTAGCTTTCAGCAGATGGATGGGGAGCCAGAAAGGAGGATGGAGCTGGAAGGTGGTTTTCCCCTGGAGTTGGGCAGCTCAGCAGCTGGACTCTCCTCTGACTTCCCCCGCCCCGCCAAATTCCCCTCTGTGTCCATGTCATTCTGCTGGTCGATGGCCTGCTGGTGTCTGCTGGTGTCGGCCGGTGTGTTCTTCTGCTCCTCTGCTCCTCTCGATGTCCAGCTGCCTGTGTGCCCTTCTGCCAGTGTGTTCCTCTTGACATCCAGCTGCTTGTGGTCTGTGCCTACTAGGGTCTCGAGGATTTTTAATAGGCATAGGATGGGGATGTGGTGAGCCAGGGTGGTCTTGGAAAATGCAACATTTGGGCGTGAAGGCATGAGTGCCTTTTCTTACCTAGGTCTGTGGGCACAGGCCTAAGGGTGGAACCCTCGCCAGGGACCCTGCCCTTCTCTCAGCACTTCCCTGCTCATCTCCTGTATCAATTTGATGGATTATTGTTTTATATGTAGTATTTGCAAACAAGATTGATAATTGTATTTACAATAAAATAACTGAAAAAATAAGTAAATAATATGGATTAATTATGCTGGGTAAAGCTACTACAAAAATAAATTTTTTGTTTTTAACATGCTTTGGCGTTAATGGCTGACATTAAGAGAGCTTTTCTAATTTGCTAAGCACTGTTCTGTGCCATTTAGATAAATTAACATTTTAAATAATTATGACAATTCTAAGAGATAGCCCTGCTGTTGCCCTCATTTTACAAATAAAGAAATGGAGACAAAGAGAGGTGAAGTAACCTGTCTAAGGTCACACATTTTGGAAGAAGCAGAGTTGAGATTTCAACCATGACACTGGCTCAGAGTTCCAGCTCCTTAACACTAGGCTGTAGTGTTGCTCTTTGTGCTGTACTGCAGTGGTTCTCAACGTGTGGTCCTGGGACCAGCAGCATCAGCATCACCTGGGGACCTTTTAGGAAGGCAAGTTCTCTGGCTACAGCCCAACTTACTAAGTCAGAAATTCTGGGGATAGGGGCCGGGAAGCTGTGTTGAAACAAGCCCTCCAGGGAATCAGATGGATTCCAGCGTTTGACAATACCTGTTACACTGCCATCTATGTTGCAAGTGTTTTTGGATTTACCTTTTAAGTTATGCATCCTTTTGGGAAAGTAGTAGAAACTTATACTATCCCAGCAGCTATATGGGGCATGGGTTCTACTACCCTCTTTTGAGGTAAGAAGATGCTACGAGTAGTCTCCCTAGAACTTTATTTTCTCATGTATAGATTGATAGGACACTCTCTTCCCACCTTCCTGGAAGCCTTGTGGAGGAAAGAGGAAATGTCATATGTGATTGGCTTTTTAAATGACAGATGGCACTGATAAAATTTAAAGTCCATGGGTAAGTCATCAAGCTGGCCATCTTTAACTGAGGATTAATTATAATTATACTACTGATAACTGAACAGGGCAAAAGTAAGTTCTGTTCCCTCCCTTTTAAGTTGTTAACTTTTACTGGCATGTTATTTACTGTAGACAGATAAGGGTAGAATAAAGCAGTTTTTCACATTCCTTTCACAAAACCTCCGAAGTCATACAGTGAATATAGAGTTACCCCTGGCCTCAAACGGATGAGAAGCAATTTTGCCGTCTCGTTTGATTTTTTTGTCTTTTAAGGCAGGCCTTTTCTGACACCCTAATTTTTACTGATCACCCCCTGGAGTTCTTTATTTCTCTTTGACACAGAAAAAAGTTATTTGTTCTCTTCTGCTTTTGTCACCTGTCTCTTCAAGTTTTCTTTCTTCCTATCTTTTTGGCATTTTGAAGAACCACTGTATAAAATATTAAGCTTAGGTTTTTCTCTATGCACTCAATTTCAGTTCCTGCAGCAAATACCATATGTGTCAACCTGTTTGATGTTCAGCTGCTGCCCATTACCAGGTATAGCCTGAGGTAGGGATTACAGTAGTGCTTCTCAAACTTTAATGTTATAAAAGGTACCTGGGCAATCTTGTTGGAATACAAATTCTGCTTCTAACAAGTTCCTGGGCCCACACTTGGAGTAGCAAAGCTCTGTCTTTGGCTTTTGACCCCGGCTGCACATTGGAATCATTTGGGCATGAAGCCGGGGTGGGGAGGAACGTTGTTTAAAGACTACAATGCTTGTCAGCACCTCATAGATTGTGCCTCAGTTGATCTTTTTTTTTTTTTTTTTTTTTTTTTGAGACGGAGTCTCGCTCTGTCCCCCAGGCTGGAGTGCAGTGGCACGATCTCGGCTCACTGCAAGCTCCGCCTCCCGGGTTCACGCCATTCTCCTGCCTCAGCCTCCCCAGCAGCTGGTACTACAGGCGCCTGCCACCACGCCAGGCTAATTTTTTTGTATGCCTCAGTCGATCTTGAGTGAGGCTGGGCATTGGTAAAAGTTTTCTAGGTGACCCTAAAATGCAGCCAGAATAAGAGGAAGCCTTCTTTCCTTCAGTGGCTCTCTGAGCTGTCCTCCATGCTACCCCCAGAAATGTGTTCTAACCGATCTGAGATAGAGCAGTGTAGTGGTTGAAAGCAAGACTCTGGATCCTAGCCTAATGAGTTTGAATCTCTATTCCTATGCTTACTGGATGTGTGACCATAAACAACTTAATTAGCCTCTCTGTCTTGGTTTCCCCATCTATAAAATGCAGATAAGATGGTAGGTCCCATTAAAGGGTTATCGTGAGTTAAAGTATGCAAAGTGCTTACAATAGTATATTAGCTATTTATTGCCATGTAACTAATTACTCAAAAACTTAATGGCTTTTATTATCTTACCATTTCTTTTTTTATTATTATTTTGACTCTGCTTGATATTATCTTACCATTTCTATGGGTCAGGAATTTGGGAATAACTTTGGTTCAGGGTCTCTCATGAAGTTGCAGTCAAGATGTTAGCTGGGGATGCACTGATCTCAACAGGAACGGGAGGATTATCTACTTCTAAAATAGTTCATTCACGTAGCTGTTGACTGGAGCCTAGTTTCTAGTTTCTCACAGCATAGGAACCTTCACAGGGCTGCTTAAAATGTCTTTACAACATGGCCGCTGGCTTCCCTCAGAGCGAGTGACCCCAGGGAGAGAGAGCAAGGAGAAAGCCACAGTAGCTTTTTATGACTGAGATTGGAAAGTCACACCATCACATCTGACACATTTTACATATTTTGTTCATTAGAAATGAGGCTCTACCTCTTAAAGGGATGAGTATAAAAGAATTTATGGACAAATTTTAAAACTACCACAAATGTTTTTTGGCTCGTGGCAAGCAATGTGTTAAGAAAGTTGCTATTTTCACTAGCTGGTATTATATCCCTTTCTGAATGTACTTAATGGTGCTGTGTTGTCCTCTAGAATCAATGGAACTTTCACTATAACCAGTGGAACTGTCTGTGCTGATGAGAATGTTTTATTTCTGCATTGTCCAATACAGCCACCACTAGCCTCATGTGGCTGTTGAACATTTGAAGTGTGTTTAGTGTGAAATGTGTTTAGTGTGATTGAGGAACTAGGCTTTAAGTTTTTTTTTTTTTTTTTTTTTTTGAGACAGAGTCTCACTCTGTCACCCAGGCTGCAGTGAAGTGGCGCGGTCTTGGCTCACTGCACTGCAACCTTTGGCTCCTAGGTTCAAGTGAGTCTCGTTAGGCTTTAACTTTAATTGTAAATAGTAATAATTTAAGTTTAACTAGCACATGTGGCTAGTGGTTACTGTACTTGGTAGCTCAGTTCTAGTACCTTGTTTTCAAAAGTGTGCTGCTGAGACCAGCAACACCTGTGTCACTTGGGAGCTTATTAGAAATGCAGAATCTCTGGCCATATCACAGAACTCTTGAATCCAAATCATAACAAGATTGCCTAGTGATTCTAATATACATTAAAGTTTCAGAACTACTGGGTTATAGTCCAAAATCTTTAAATTGCAAGACCTTAAGAACCTGGGGCTTCCCACGTTTCAAGTCCCTTTCTAGTACCCTTTCCCATACATTCATTTCAATGTCTCCTAAAACAAGGGCTTTGTCTAAGTCATTGCCTATGGCTGGAGGGTCTCAACCTGGAAAACCCTACTCATTCTCCAAGACCTGGCTAAAACGCCACCTCTTCCATGACTTTCCCCTTCATCTCACTCAAGAAGTCATTGCTCCCTCATTTGTATTCCTGGAGAACTTGATACGCCTTCCACAAGATTTCCATGATGTAATATAGTTATTTGTGTATGTGGGTTGAGGCTTGGGACCACATCTTGATTTGTTTTTCTGTTGTATGCACCTAGCATAATGCCTGTTTTATCCAACACCCTTGAATTTTAGAAACTGATCATGGTAAATATATTGCATACTTCTTAACACTGAAGCAGAAATCTGCAATCCAATACATGTCTATATCTATAGAGAAATTTATGGATACTCGCACTAAGTGAGCAGTTGGCCTGGTCTCTTCCTAGCTTGTTGACAACTGGATGCCACCATACAACTGTATTGTATGCTCAGACCTGGTGGTGGCTGACAGGAGCATTTTGAAGCATTAGCCCTCACTTCTTCAGAATCTATAGAATTGAGTCACTCGAGAAACAGAATGAGATTTCCCAGGTCAAGGACAAGCTGCATTTTGTCAGATGAATGGCAACATCCAATTCCTTTTTCTTGCCTATCTCCATATGTAGAAAATGCACATTAGTAGGGGTTGCAATCCTAGTCTCTGATAAAACAGACTTTAAACCAACAAAGATCAAAAGAGACAAAGAAGGCCATTACATAATGGTAAAGGGATCAATTCAACAAGAAGAGCTAACTATCCTAAATATATATGCACCCAACACAGGAGCACCCAGGTTCATAAAGCAAGTCCTGAGTGACCTACAAAGAGACTTAGACTCCCACACATTAATAATGGGAGACTTTAACACCCCACTGTCAACATTAGACAGATCAACGAGACAGAAAGTCAACAAGGATACCCAGGAATTGAACTCAGCTCTGCACCAAGCAGACCTAATAGACATCTACAGAACTCTCCACCCCAAATCAACAGAATATACATTTTTTTCAGCACCACACCACACCTATTCCAAAATTGACCACATACTTGGAAGTAAAGCTCTCCTCAGCAAATGTAAAAGAACAGAAATTATAACAAACTATCTCTCAGACCACAGTGCAATCAAACTAGAACTCAGGATTAAGAATCTCATTCAAAACCGCTCAACTACATGGAAACTGAACAACCTGCTCCTGAATGACTACTGGGTACATAATGAAATGAAGGCAGAGATAAAGATGTTCTTTGAAACCAACGAGAACAAAGACACAACATACCAGAATCTCTGGGATGCATTCAAAGCAGTGTGTAGAGGGAAATTTATAGCACTAAATGCCCACAAGAGAAAGCAGGAAAGATCCAAAATTGATACCCTAACATCACAATTAAAAGAACTAGAAAAGCAAGAGCAAACACATTCAAAAGCTAGCAGAAGGCAAGAAATAACTAAGATCAGAGCAGAACTGAAGGAAATAGAGACACAAAAAACCCTTCAAAAAATTAATGAATCCAGGAGCTGGTTTTTTGAAAGGATCAACAAAATAGACTGCTAGCAAGACTAATAAAGAAAAAAAGAAGAATCAAATAGATGCAATAAAAAATGATAAAGGGGATATCACAACCGATCCCACAGAAATACAAACTACCATCAGAGAATACTACAAACACCTGTACGCAAATAAACTAGAAAATCTACAAGAAATGGATAAATTCCTCGACACATACACTCTCCCAAGACTAAACCAGGAAGAAGTTGAATCTCTGAATAGACCAATAACAGGATCTGAAATTGTGGCAATAATCAATATCTTACCAACCAAAAAGAGTCCAGGACCAGATGGATTCACAGCCAAATTCTACCAGAGGTACAAGGAGGAACTGGCACCATTCCTTCTGAAACTATTCCAATCAATAGAAAAAGATGGAATCCTCCCTAACTCATTTTATGAGGCCAGCATCATCCTGATACCAAAGCCGGGCAGAGACACAACAAAAAAAGAGAATGTTAGACCAATATCCTTGATGAACATTGATGCAAAAATCCTCAATAAAATACTGGCAAAACGAATCCAGCAGCACATCAAAGAGTTTATCCACCATGATCAAGTGGGCTTCATCCCTGGGATGCAAGGCTGGTTCAATATATGCAAATCAATAAATGTAATCCAGCATATAAACAAAGCCAAAGACAAAAACCACATGATTATCTCAATAGATGCAGAAAAGGCCTTTGACAAAATTCAACAACCCTTCATGCTAAAAACTCTCAATAAATTAGGTATTGATGGGATGTATTTCAAAATAATAAGAGCTATCTATGACAAACCCACAGCCAATATCATGCTGAATGGGCAAAAACTGGAAGCATTCCCTGTGAAAACTGGGACAAGACAGGGATGCCCTCTCTCACCACTCCTATTCAACATAGTGTTGGAAGTTCTGGCCACGGCAATTAGGCAGGAGAAGGAAATAAAGGGTATTCAATTAGGAAAAGAGGAAGTCAAATTGTCCCTGTTTGCAGACGACATGATTGTATATCTAGAAAACCCCATTGTCTCAGCCCAAAATCTCCTTAAGCTGATAAGCAACTTCAGCAAAGTCTCAGGATACAAAATCAATGTACAAAAATCACAAGCATTCTTATACACCAACAACAGACAAACAGAGAGCCAAATCATGAGTGAACTCCCATTCACAATTGCTTCAAAGAGAATAAAATACCTAGGAATCCAACTTACAAGGGATGTGAAGGACCTCTTCAAGGAGAACTACAAACCACTGCTCAATGAAATAAAAGAGGATACAAACAAATGGAAGAACATTCCATGCTCATGGGTAGGAAGAATCAATATGGTGAAAATGGCCATACTGCCCAAGGTAATTTACAGATTCAATGCCATCCCCATCAAGCTACCAATGACTTTCTTCACAGAATTGGAAAAAACTACTTTAAAGTTCATATGGAACCAAAAAAGAGCCCGCATCGCCAAGTCAATCCTAAGCCAAAAGAACAAAGCTGGAGGCATCACACTACCTGACTTCAAACTATACTACAAGGCTACCGTAACCAAAACAACATGGTACTGGTACCAAAACAGAGATATAGATCAATGGAACAGAACAGAGCCCTCAGAAATAACGCCACATATCTACAACTATCTGATCTTTGACAAACCTGAGAAAAACAAGCAATGGGGAAAGGATTCCCTATTTAATAAATGGTGCTGGGAAAATTGGCTAGCCATATGTAGAAAGCTGAAACTGGATCTCTTCCTTACACCTTATACAAAAATCAATTCAAGATGGATTAAAGACTTAAACGTTAGACCTAAAACCATAAAAACCCTAGAAGAAAACCTAGGCATTACCATTCAGGACATAGGCATGGGCAAGGACTTCATGTCTAAAACACCAAAAGCAATGGCAACAAAAGACAAAATTGACAAATGGGATCTAATTAAACTAAAGAGCTTCTGCACAGCAAAAGAAACTACCATCAGAGTGAACAGGCAACCTACAAAATGGGAGAAAATTTTCACCACCTACTCATCTGACAAAGGGCTAATATCCAGAATCTACAATGAACTCGAACAAATTTACAAGAAAAAAACAAACAACCCCATCAGAAAGTGGGCAAAGGACATGAACAGACACTTCTCAAAAGAAGACATTTATGCAGCCAAAAGACACATGAAAAAATGCTCATCATCACTGGCCATCAGAGAAATGCAAATCAAAACCACAATGAGATACCATCTCACACCAGTTAGAATGGCTATCATTAAAAAGTCAGGAAACAACAGGTGCTGGAGAGGATGTGGAGAAAGAGGAACACTTTTACACTGTTGGTGGGACTGTAAACTAGTTCAACCATTGTGGAAGTCAGTGTGGCGATTCCTCAGGGATCTAGAACTAGAAATACCATTTGACCCAGCCATCCCATTACTGGGTATATACCCAAATGACTATAAATCATGCTGCTATAAAGACACATGCACACATATGTTTATTGAGGCATTATTCACAACAGCAAAGACTTGGAACCAACCCAAATGTCCAACAATGATAGACTGGATTAAGAAAATGTGACACATATACACCATGGAATACTATGCAGCCATAAAAATTATGAGCTCATGTCCTTTGTAGGGACATGGATGAAATTGGAAATCATCATTCTCAGTAAACTGTTGCAAGAACAAAAAACCAAACACCGCATGTTCTCACTCATAGGTGGGAATTGAACAATGAGATCACATGGACACAGGAAGGGGAACATCACACTCTGGGGACTGTTGTGGGGTGGGGGGAGGGGGGAGGGATAGCACTGGGAGATATACCTAATGCTAGATGACAAGTTAGTGGGTTTAGCGCACCAGCATGGCACATGTATACATATGTAACTAACCTGCACAATGTGCACATGTACCCTAAAACTTAAAGTATAATAATAAAAGAAAAAAAAACTTAAAAAAAATGCACATTAGTGATGTTAGTGCGTCAGGGACAGAAACTGGAGAATTGGGGAGGCCTGAACTGCCAGCCAAGAAACTGGGACCTTACCCAAGGCTGACATTGTTCTTCTGAATAAGTTTCCTTTTGAATGAAATCCTGAATCTTTTCTTGTTTAGGAGGCAGGTGGTTGAGATGTTACTTTTGTTTTCACTTGACCCTAAAAGGAGACAGCTGACATAGGTAGTTCAAAGTGGAAATTTAATTCCAAGTCTTAGAAACCAGGCAAAGGTAGGGAAGTTGTATGGTGCTTTTAAACATAATATCCTTTATTGGTCCCAATGTCCATATGAATAACATCAATTTTAATATTATTTTATTAGCCCTAAATTATTACCTTTTATTCTTCAAGCACTGTCCCTACAATGCTAGAATTTGCTGAAAAGTTTATATTGGCCCTGCTCAGCTCCAAAATTAAGCATGTCCCATTCACTAAATCTTAATCCTGAATCCAAATCAAATTCTTTTTCCACTACTCCTTTTCTTATTGCATACCAAACAGAGGCCAAAACTTTAATAAGAATGGCATCAAAGTAAGAAGATGTAGCATTCTATACTTTGTCAGTTACTGATTTAACCCTATATTGGTCCTGTAATACACAGGTAGCATAACAGGCTATTTGCAAAAGTCCCTAAAATTCTCTTAGAAGGAAATCTGATGTATTGTATCCAATGCATGAGATTTTGAATGAGCACAGAAGGATAATTAATATACATTGTAGTCTATTTTCGCAGGTCATGGGAGTAATAATTTTTTTTTTTTTTTTGAGACAGAGTCTCTCTGTGTTGCCCAGGCTGGACGTAGTGGTGTGACCTCGGTTTACTGCAACCTCCACCTCCCAGGTTCAAGCGATTCTCCTGCCTCAGCCTGCCGAGTAGCTGGGACTACAGGCATGAACCACAGTGCCTGGCTATATATATAATATATATAGTATTTTCAGTAGAGTTGGGGTTTCACCACGTTGGCCAGGCTGGTCTTGAACTCCTGACCTCAGGTAATCCACCTGCCTTGGCCTCCCAAAGTGCTGGGATTACAGGCGTGAGTCACTGTGCCCAGCCGAGAGTATTATAAAATTAAATGTTCAAGTCCAAGCACTTGGGGTCACCTGGTGGTCTAAACAGATGCATGACTCCTTGTATCACCCACATCAGAATTCCCAACTTAACCCCAAGCAGGTGAAACAAGTGTGTTTAAATCAGCAGGAGCCAGTAGTGACTTAGCTTAACACCTGTCTTTTAAGATAATGCACATGTGAAACAAATGCATTCTTGGGCATTTAGGCTTATGATCTTCCATTTTATGTTTCCTTCAGCCTACATACTAAAGACCCCAAATCTTTGTCCATGGTACAGACATCTTCCCTCAGTTCCAGAAACATGTTCATCCGCCTGTTGGTATCGACAGCTGAATGTTCTACAGGTATCTGAAACTCTGTCTGTCTCATGCTGTCTCAGTTTGTCTCATTATACTTCCTCTACTCATCCTTTAACTTACAGAAAGTTGGAAATCCTGTGAGATGCCCCCATCTCCCTAAGACTCCATAATTATTAAGTGATCATAGAGGAATACAGGAAGTAGTCTTGTATGACATTTTGCCAAATTGTTTTCCAAAAATAGTTTTACCAGTTTATATTCCTATCAGCAGTATATATACATTTCTGTTTTTCTGAATTCTGCTGAACATTTGAAATATTAGGTTCACATTTTTTCCGATTTGACGAGTGTGGAGATGGTAACTCATTTTGGTTTTATTTTGAATTTCCCTGATTATTCTCAGTGAGACTGAGAATACCTTCATATATTTATTGTATATTTATTTTTTTCCTTCTGTGAATTGCCTATTAATACCTTTTGCCCATTTTCCATTGGATTGCTTCTCTTTTTTCAGTAAAAGTGCTACATATATTCTGAGTACTAATCCTTTGTTGGTGTTATATATGGAAAAGAACTTTTTCTAGATTGTGGCTTGTCATTTCTTTTCCTATGTTGATTTTCATGAGAGATGAATTAAATAAATTAGTGCAGTAAATTTTTCAATCTTTTGTTATCTGTATTTTGCTTTTGCATGTCTTATTTAAAGAGATCCTTCCCTACTTCAAGGTCATAGACATTCTCCTACACATTTTATTCTAATTTTTAAAAAGTTTTGAGTTTTGTATTTATGTCTTTAGCTCAGCTGGAATTCATTTTGTATGAGGTGAAAATCTAATGTGCTTAAAAAATTTGGACAACTAATTATCCCAGGAATTATCAAATAGCCTATTTTTATAGGTCTGCAATGCCCTTTCTATCAAATATTAAGTGTCTATGTATGTTTGGGTCCATTTTTGGGTTCTCTGTTTTGAGCAATAATCAGTTTATCCATCTTTGTATCAAATACTTTCTAGATTTCTGTAGCTTTAAAATCTTTATATTTGGTAAGGCAAGTTTCTTTACTTATATTTAAATATTTCTCGATTTTTTTGCCTTTTCTATGAAATTTAGAATCAGTGTATCAAGTATGACAAAAATTTATAGATTAATTTGACTTTAAAAAATCTTATCTTCCTATTAATTTTGTATCTTGTTTAAAAAATCCCATTTCCTAACTCTTATGGCTGCATAAAAATACGATTGATTTTATATATTGATTCTGTTTTTGGCAACCTTACTAAACTTTCTAATTAATTATGATAAATTATATGCATATTCTTTTGGATTCTCTACCTCAGTAGTTGTACTGATTTTAAAAAGTCCACAAATTTTTTGATACTTCTCAATTCAAGAGGTGGAGCCTAATCACTCTCCCTTGAGTGTGGGTTAGATTTAGGAACATAGTTTTAACAAATAGAAAACGTGGAAATGATGGTGTGTCACTTCTGAGATTTGGTTGTAAAAGACACTGCAGCTTCCATTTGGCCCTCTGTCTCTGTCTCTTTGTCTAATGGCTCACTCAGAGGGGAGCCAGCTGCCATGTCATGAGGACATTCAGGCAGCCTTGTGGAAAGCCTCATGTGGTGAGGAACTGAGGCCACCTGCCAAAAGTGGGAGGAAGTGAGGTGTTCTCCCGACAGCCATGGGAGCAAGCCATCTTGAAAATGCATCCTCCCGTCCCAGTCAGCCTTTCAGGAGACTGCAGCCTCAGCAGACATTTCAACTACAACCTCCTGAGAGACCTGGAGCCTTTAAGCTGCTTCTAGATTCCTGACCCTCAGAAGCTATTTGAAGTAATAAAGATCTTTTTTTGGGCAGGAAAAATTCAACATATATTTTATTCTAACTATATAAATATTATTCACAGCCAAGTCACATAGTGTACTAAGAAGAAACTTATTTTCCTATGTAACCTTTTGCTTTTCCTAGAGCTAATAATTGTTTCCTCTGTTTTCTGTTTTATTTGCTTGTTTCCTTTGAAGCTCTTAGCAATTCTTTCATCTTTAATGTCTCAATTACTCTCCATCCTCAGGCCAAGACTTAGATTTGCAAACACAGTAACAACTTTTAACTTTCTTTCAACTTTATAGGAAGCTCACTTTACACTCAGTAAGATATAATTCTTGAAAAAAATTATTGACCAAAGAAAGCCTATTTTTTCCTCATTTGTTTTTCTCTCTCCTTCAATAGCTTTATTGGAATATTATTGACATAAAATTTTATGTACTTAAGCTGTACAATTCGATGTATTGATATATGCATGCATCGTGAAATGATCCCCGCCTTCCAGCCAATTAGTCACCTCTACTGTTGCCATTTTTGTTTTGTGTATGTGTGTGTTAAGATTTACTTTAAAATCTATCAGTTTAGCAAATTTCAAGTATGCAGTACAGTATTACTCCTATTGTCACCATGATGTACATTAAATATCCAAAACTTACTCATCTTGCATAACTGAAGCTTTGTACACTTTGGGCAACATAACCCCATTTTGCCCTCCCCCAAGTCTCTGGCAACCACCACCCTACTTTCAGCTTCTACGAGTTTATTTTAGATTCCAAATGTAAGTGAGGTCATATAGTATTTCTCTTTCTATATCTCACTTATTTCGCTTGGCATAATGTCCCTCAGTTCCATCTATGTTGTTGCAAATGGTAGGATTTCCTTCTTTTTTTCAGGTAGAATCATATTTCATTGTGTATATAAACCACATTTTCCTTATCCACTCATTTGTCAAAGAACATTTAGGTTGTTTCTATGTTATGGTTATTGTGACTGATGCTGCAATGAACTTTGGAGTGCAGATAGCTCTTTGACATACTGATTTTATTTCCTTTAGATATATACCCAGAAGTGGGATTGCTGGAACATATGGCAATTCTACTTTTAATTTTTTGAGGGATCTCCATACTGTTTTTCATAATGGCTGTACTAGTTTACATTCTCATCAACAGTGTACAAGGGTTCCTTTTTCTCCACATCCTTACTAACACTTGTTATCTTTTTGTTTTTTTTTGAAAACATATCCTAAGAGGTGTTATACGATACCTTACTGTAGTTTTGATTTGCATTTCCATGATGATTAGAGATATCCAGCACCTTTTCATATACCTGTTGGCTACTTGAATTTCTTTTTTTGAGAAACATCTATTTTGGTCCTTTGCCTGTTGTTTACTCAGGTTATTTGTTTGTTTGCTATTGAGTTGTAGGCGCTCCTTATATATATTGGACATCAACCCCTTATCAGATATATAGTTTGTAAATATTTCCTCTAGTTCTGTAGGTTGCCTTTTCACTCTGTTGGTTGTTTCCTTTGCTGTGCAGAAGTTTTTTGGTTTGATGTTGTCCTTCTTGTCTAGTTTTGCTTTTGTTGCCTGTGCTTTAGGTGTCACGTTTAAAAAATTATTATCAGGACTAATGTCAAAAAGGTTCTTCCTCCTTTTTTTTTTTTTTTTGAGACAGAGTTTTGCTCTTGTTGCCCAGGCTGGAGTGCAATGGTGCGATCTCGGCTCACTGCAACCTCTGCCTCCTGAGTTCAAGTGATTCTCCTGCCTCAGCCTCCCAAGTAGCTGGGATTACAGGTGCCCACAACCACACCCGGATAATTTTTTTTTTTTGTATTTTTAGTAGAGACGGGGTTTCACCATGTTGGCCAGGCTGATCTCAAACTCCTGACCTCAGGTGATCCTCCTGCCTTGACCTCTCAAAGTGCTGGGATTACAGGCATAAGCCACCATACCTGGCCTTTTCCCCATTTTTTTAAAAAGGGTTTTATGGTATCAAGCTTTACACTTAAGTCTTTAATCCATTGATTTGATCTTTGTGTATAGTGTAAGATAAGGGTGCATTGTCATTCTTTTGCATGTTGATATCCAGTTTTCCCAACATTTTGGAAGAGACTATTATTTTCCCCATTGTGTGTTCTTGGAACCCTTGTTGAAGATAATTTGACCATAAATGTGTAGGTTTATTTCTGGGCTCTCTCTTCTGATTCATTAGTTGATATGTCTGCTTTATGCCAGTCCCATACTATTTCAATTACTATAGCTTTGTAATATAATTGATGTCAGGAAGTGTGATGCCTCCAGCTTTTTTCTTTCCCCTCAAGATTGCTTTGTGTGTTCGTCTGTTTTTGTTGCCATTAAGGAATGCCTGAGACTGGGTAATTTATAAAGAAAGAAGTTTAATTGGCTCACAGTTCTGCAGGCTGTAGAGGAAGCACAGCAGCATCTGCTCCTGGTGAAGGCCTCAGGAATCCTACAATCATGGTAGAAAGCAAAGGGGGAGCCAGGGTATCATATGGTGAGAGTGGGAGTAAGAGAGAAGGGAGCAGGGGGGCTGGAGGTGTCATACTCTTTTATTATTTTATATTTTTTTCAGCAATAATGTTGATTTACTATCACTTTATGCACCAGATCTGTGAAAACACACAACCTATGTTCTATGCTCTCCAGAAAAGGACAAGCATCATGAGGATCATATAAAACATGTACAATCAAAATACAATTTCATGATTGACTATACCATTGGAAACACATATGACAATACCAGTTGGTGATATCACTGAGATCACTAGAGCCAGGTGAGATAATCTACATAAGTTTCTCCATAGAATTAAATTTTGAGGGCGATTTGCTGGGATTGAAGATAAACAGAAACTGAGGAAGAATTTCAGGCAATTACCTGGTCCAGCCCCCAACAAGTGCAAATAAAGACCTGGCTCTCAAGGAAAATCAATACATCAGTTCCCTCTTAGATGTCAAAATCAGAATCTCCAAATGCACTGATTTAATAAAACAGGTTTTATCAACCTAATGATCAATATGTTCTCACATATTCGTAAAATCGCCTTTAAGTCCTTTTTAACTTTTGTGGTACTCTGAAGATGTGAGAAGCTAATTAGTATCATTTTCATAAAATCTAATACATAAGATAGGAGGCTTATATAGTGAGTGACAGTCAGTGTTGTGTCACCTAATGGCCAAAAATAACCCAAATCATTGAACCTTTTATCACATATCCTGTTTTGATCCTGATAATCATTTTTAAAAATTGAAATCAGCTTTATTTAAGAATTTCCAGCATTGACAACTCTTATAAAAAGCATCCAAGCACAGGGCACAGAACTGTAGCAAACAGCATTCTTACGGGTAGCTAACAGACATTAGAACTTCCACCCTTCTTTGAGACACCTGAACTCACTGTGAACTCTGCTTCCAAGTACTCCTTCAAAGCATACCACAAGCTCAGTTTATATTCTCAACTCATCAGCTTCAGTTCACATTACCACACTTATGTATCAGTAACAGAAGAGAACACACACCATACAGCATTCACAGCAGTTGACAAAAGGGTAGGAAAATACAAGTATCGTTTCACTTAACACATTCAACTAATGTAGGTTGCCTAAGAACAAAGCTCACTGAAAGTCTTCCAACACATGTGGATGTCCTTTGAATACAAAAGACATTCATACATTGTTTATTATTGTTGTCTGTATACTCTCTCACCAAAATTACAGGATTGAGAGACACATCTCAACAAGTTAAAAAATATTCATGATGCACCATCAACTCTCTACCTGCACTCTCTCCTTCTCTCACTCATACTAGCCTTCCATGCCTTGGCAGCACCACCAATTCCACACAAAGTTTCAAAAGTTCAGACAGCCTCTGGTTCCATATCACAGCCTTGTGTTCATGACGTTGATAAGACTCCATGAAATAAAGCATAGTGAATCAAAATGGGAACACCCACTGTCAAAGATGCAGCCTGTGAAGTGTGATGACGAATTCTTGAATGAGAAAGCATGTAGACAGAAGTATTTCTATGGCAGGATATTTACAGCGCTACTTTCAATGAAGTGCTTCTGTAAACGTTTGAAATGAGATGCACTGCAGAGATTAAATGAAGGCTTCATATCGTACTTTTCTATATCAGGTGGGTGGAGTGACAAGTGTTAAAAAACAAAACAAAAGAATCAAACACTGTGACACCATGATCTCCCAAAAGGAGATTTTATTAAGGAAAAAAAATCATATGGTGGGGTTCAAATGAAGACAAGGAGAAAAGAATGTAGTTCTCATCAATGTTTTCCATTTTGAGCACGCAAAGAGTTCACTTGAGAAGTCCAGGGATAAAATATTACAGATATCAATTGTAATGTGTTGATTTTCCAACAGACAAACAGCCATTTGCTTTTAACCACTCAATATTTCAACTCTTTATTTATTCAACTCTTTGTGTAACTCAACTCTTAATGTATTCAACTCTTCATGTAACTCTACGTCACAAAACTTATACAATTCCTTTATCTCTTCCTCTTTTTCTAAAGAAAAATGTCAAAAATACTGCTGAATATACTCCACACTGAACAAACCAATTTTGAAAAGTTTTGTATCTTACCATGTACATTCCGTACCAACAAACCATAACCCAAAGTCTACATTTCCCAGCCAGAAGATTGAGAATCCATGCTTGAGCCAGAGCCTCCATTAAAACCATTGCCTGATGCTGATTCCCAACCAATTGCTGCACCAGAATTAGAACCACTGTAAGAGTTATTTCTAGAACCAAAGACCTGGTTTGGCTCCCTTTGCATGTTGCCTTGACTTTGGTTATTACCTGATGGGCCTGACTGGTTCTGCTGGCTGGCTAACATGCTCATCCTACCCCAACTGCTCTGCAGCGCTGCCTGGGCTGCAGCCATCATGGCTGGATTAATGCTGAGCACACCAAAATTCATCTACCACCTGTATTGGTACCTCGATTGTTTTCCAAGCCAGATCCACCCCTCTACTGTTACCAAATCCACTCAGATTCCCAAATCTTCCACTTCTTTCTATCTATTGCTGTCGTGTGATTAGGTTTGGCACTGGATATATGCATGCTGAGTCCTTTAATGATCAAGTCCTCTCCACAAAGAGATTGGGCAATCTGATCAACTGCAAATGTAACAAAGGCAAAGGCCCTGAATGGCTTGGGGATGAAGACATCCACCACTTCTTTGTACTGACAGAAAAACTGCCATAGCTCATCTGCAGTCATGTCCTCTGTACAGCGCCCCACAAACACTTCTCTGCTTCTCAAAGGCTCATCTGGGCTTTGCTTAGAGTTGGGAAATTTACAGTCATACCATCATCCATCTATCATATGTCACTGTGACATTACTTTCACGTGTCTTTCATACTCCATAAAATGAACAAAGCCAAACCCTTTTGACCAGTTTTAATATCTATCTTGACTTGGACTTCTCCAGAGGTACTAAAATATTCTTTCAGATCCTGTTTCCATAGGAGGAAAAACAAACTGAGAGCAAAAACTCACTAATTACCAACGCTATTAAATAAGATATTTTCTGGACTGCTCTTCACTTTCACTGCCGTCTCACCCATTTTTCTTTTGTTATCTTTGGGACAGTTGACAACATATACCAGATTTCCACAGTCAGCATCAGGGCATGCAGAATTCCTTCTACCAGCTGGATACCTCTCATACACTGAGACACTGGATTCTTGTAGTGAAGTCCACATGCCCCTGGAAACTGGGCTGTAACTGTGGACAGCAGCACCACCCCATTGTCTTCTGATGATATTTCAACGAGCTCCTTATTCTCAACTTCACTTACCCTAGTGTATTCAGACATCTTTTATTTCTCTACTTAGGCCACTGCTAGAAAGCCCAACAGGGACACTGAAGCAGTGACAGATCCAAGCACAGCTTAGTTTATTCTCCTTGATAATCATTTTTATTGTTCTTCCTGGGACTCATTCAAGACTTTCTAGAATTCATATTAACTCATGGCCAAACATGAAAATAAGTTGTAACAAGGGGGTACGTAATGTAGAACATTTGGAAGAGCTGTCTCTTTGTTCTTGCCAGCCACGTTCCTTTGGATGTTTAGCTTGTTAGCAGTGATCATCATGGCCAATTACTTGATCTGCATCATCATCCTACATAAGCAATTGTTATGTCTTCAGTGATGACCTGAGAGGAAAATACACTCCAATGGCATGGTAAATGCCCTTTCTGCAGGAGGGACAAGTAAGAAAGACTCAGGATGCTGCAATTCAGGAGGCTGAGCTCTAACCCTTAGCCCCTAAACCCACTGTCTATGAGAAGCCATGCTGAAATTTAGACAGCAGCACATCACAGACCTGCACAGGCATTGAGCTGGCAGGGCATTGCTCAATGATGGTAGGTGCAGTGTTTACAGAAGTGTGTAATGTGAAGTGCTAGTGCACAAGGGCCCTATGGTTAAATGTGTTTGAAAAATGCTGCATACTATATCCATTGGCCACACTTTTAAACAACCAGATCTTGCACAAACTCAGAGCACAAACTCACTAATTACTGTGAGGATGGCACCAAACCATTCATGAGGGATCAGTCGTCATGACACACACATCTCCCATCAGGCCTCACCTCCAGCACTGGGGATTACATTTCAACATGAGATTTGGAGGGAACAAATGTCCAAACCATGGCACTTTGGCTATTTGGGATCCATATAAATTTAAGGATTGTTTGTTTCTATTTCTGCCCTTGGGATTTCGATAGGGATTGCACTAAATCTGTAGATAGCTTAGGGTAATATGGACATTTTTAACAATATTAAGTCTTTTAATCAATGAACATGAGATATCTGTTTATTTGTGTCTTTTAAAACTTTGTCAAGGTTTTGTAATTTTCAGTATACAAGTCTTTTACCTGCTTAAGTTAATTCTTAGATATTCCATTTTGTTGCTAATGTAAATGAGATTGTTTTCCTAATTTTCTTTTTAGATATTTCACTGTTGGTGTATGGAAATGCCACTAATTTTTGTATGTTGATTTTGTACCCTGCAACTTTACTGAATTTGCTTATTGGTTGTTCCAACAGTTTTTTTTTTTTTTGGTGTAGAGTGTTTAGAGTTTTCTATGTATATGATCATGTCATCTTTAAACAGAGATAATTTTATTTCTTCCTTTCTGATTTGTATGCCTTTTTATTTCATTTTCTTGCCTGATTGCTCCAGCCAGGACTTCCAATACTATGTTGAATAGCAGTGGCAAGAGTGGGCATCCTTATCTTGCTCTGGATCTTAGAGGAAAAGCTTGTTTTCCCCAGTGATTACGACTTTAACTGTAGTTTTTTCATATATAGTTTTTATTGTGTTAAGGAAAGCTCCTCCTGTACCTATTTGGTTGAGAGTCTTTACCATGAAAAGATGTTGAATTTTGTCAAATGCGTTTTGTGCATCTATTAAGGTGATTATGTGGTTTTTGTCTTTCATTTTGTTAACATGGTGTGTCACACTGATTGATTTTCATGTTAAACCAGCTTTGCATCCCAGGAATAGATCCCACTTCATTATAGTGTGTGATCCTTTTAATGTGCTGTTAAATTCAGTTTGCTAGCAGCTTATTAAATATTTTTACATGTATATTCACCAGGGATAGTGGCCTGCACTTTCCTTTTCTTGTATTGTTGTTGTTGTTGCTGTTGTTTTTTTCTGGCTTTGGAATCAGGGTGATGTTGTTCTTATAAAATGAGTTTGGGAGTGTTCCATCTTCTATTTTTGGAATAGTTTAAGAATGGTTAGTATTAGCTATTTTTAAAATGTTTGATAGAACTCATTTATGAAACCATCTTGACCTGGGCTTTTCTTTGTTGGAAAGTTTTTGATGACTGATTCAATCTCCTTGCTTGTTATTGGTCAATTTGTCTTTCTAGTTCTTGATTCAGTCTTGATAGCTTGTGTGCTTTTAAGAATTAATGCATTTCTTCTAGGTTATCCAATTTGTTGGTATATAATTGTTCACAGTAGTCTCTGTGATTCTTTTTGTTTTTGTGTCATCTATTGTAATGTCTCCTTTCTAAAAAACTTCTGATTGTATTTAAGTCTTCTCTTTCTGTTTTGTATTAGGCTAGCAAAGGGTTGGATAATTTCATCTTCTCAAATAAAACCAATTCTTAATTTTATTTTTTCCTATTTTTTGCTTATTTTTGCTTCAATCTTTATTATTTCCTTCCATCTGCTAACTTTGAGTTTAGTTTGTTTTTCTACTTTTAGTTCCTTGAGTTGTAAAGTTAAGTTGTTTAATTGAGATATTTCTTCTTTTTTAAGGTAGGCACTTAACACTATAAGATTTTGTCTTAATGCTGCCTTTGCTGCATACCATACACTTTGGTAAGATGTGTTTTGTCTTCATTTTTTTCACGGTAATTTTAAAATTTCTGTTTGCTTTATTCTCTTATTCAATGGTTGTTCAAGTGTGTGGGGTTTAGTTTTCTTGTTCTTGTGTGAATTTTCTTGTTTTCTTGATATTATTGATTTCTAGTTTCATTCCACTGTGGTCTGCAAGATACTTGATATAATTAAAATCTTTTTAAATTTTTAAAGACTTGTTTTAAGACACAACGTATGGCCTATTCTGGAGAATATTCTGTGTGCCCCTGAAAATAATATGCATTCTGCTGCTATTGGGTGGAAAATTCTGTCTATGTCTATTGTCCATTTGATTCATAGTGTTACTCAAGTCAGTGGTTTCCTTATAGTTTTTCAGCCTAGATGTTCTATCCATTATTGAAAGTGGAGTATTGAAGTCTTCAATTATTATTGTATTGTTGTCAGTTTCTTCCTTCAGATATACCAATATTTGTTTTATATATTTAGTTGCTCTGATGTTAGGTGCATATATATTTACAATTATATCTTCCTCTTGAATTGACTTTTTTAATCATTATATAATGATCTTTGCCAATTTTTGACTTAAAATCTTTTGTCTAAGTATAGCTCTCCCTGCTTTCTTTTGGTTGCCATTTGTATAGAATATCTTTTTCTATCCCTTCACTTTCAGGCTATGTGTGTCCTCACATTTAAAGTGAATCGTTTATAGACACTAAGTCACTGGATCATGTTTTTTAATCCACTCAGCAACTCTATGCCTTTACATTGGAGAATTTAATCCATTTACATTTAAAGTGATTGTTGATATGTAAGAACTTACAATTTTGTTAATTGCGGTCTGTTTTGCAGTTCTTTTGTAACTTTCTCTCTTTTGTTATCTCCTTTTGTTGTCTGATTTTTTTTTTTTTTGTAGCAGTTTGGTTTGGTTCCTTTCTCCTTGTCTTTTTGTGTATCTATTATAGACTTTTCTTTTGTGGTTAACATGGGGCTTGTGTAATTCTTCTTGTAGTTATAAGCATCTATTTTAATTTGATAACAACTCAAGTTCAATTGCATACAAAAATTCTGCACTTTATCCCCTTCCACACATACACTTTGTGTTCTTGAAGTCAGAATTTTTATATTATGAGTCTGTTCACAATTTTTTAAAAAATGTGTTTTTAATCAACACAAAATTGTACATATTTATGGAATACATAGTGATATTTTAATATATGCAGTGTATAGTGATCAAATCAGGGTAATCAGCATATTCATCACCTCAAACATTTATCATTTGTGTTGAGAACATTCAAAATCCTCTCTTCTAGATATTTGAAAATGTATAATAAATTATTGTTAGCTGTAGTCACCCCACAGTGCTATAAAACACTGGAACTTGTTCCTGCTATCTAGCTGCAAATTTTGTATAATCTAATAGATCCCTACCTATTCCTCTCATTCATCTCAGCCCCTAGTAACTACTATTCTACTCTCCACTTCTATGAGATCAACATTTTTAGCT
Source organism: Homo sapiens (assembly GCF_000001405.40). NCBI lineage: Eukaryota > Metazoa > Chordata > Mammalia > Primates > Hominidae > Homo > Homo sapiens. The sequence continues at coordinate 6,206,223 of NC_000020.11, forward strand.
TCTAAATAAGAGTGAGAACATACATGTTACCGAATTTTTCTGTTTATAGTTGCTTTTTTTTTTTTTTTTTTTTTTTTTTTTGAGACGGAGTCTCACTCTGTCGCCCAGGCTGGAGTGCAGTGGCGCAATCTCGACTCACTGCAAGCTCCACCTCCAGGGTTCACGCCATTCTCCTGCCTCAGCCTCCCAAGTTGCTGGGACTACAGGTGCCCGCCACCATGCCTGGCTAATTTTTTGTATTTTTAGTAGAGACAGGGTTTCACCGTGTTAGCCAGGATGTTCTCGATCTCCTGACCTCGTGATCCACCCACCTTGGCCTCCCAAAGTGCTGGAATTACAGGCGTGAGCCACGGCGTCTGGCCTATAGTTACTCTTAATATTTTTGTCTTTTAACTGTTACGTTAGGCTTATAGGTACTTTGCATACCACCATTACAATGTTATATTATTCTGTATTTGACTTTATTTTTACTTTTACTGGTGTAATTTATACTTTTATATGATTTCACATTGTTGTTTAGTGTGTTTTCAATTCCATTTGAAGAACTCCCTTTGGCATTTCTTTTAAGGAAGGTCTAGTGGTAACAAACCATCCAGGTTTTTTTTGGTCCTGGAAAGACTTAATGTCTCCTACATTTTTAAAAGATAGCTTTGCAGAGTAAAATATTCTATGTTGGCAATTATTTTTCCTCTTTCTTTTTGGACAAAGAAGAGGAATATACATTATTATTTCTCGATTCCTCCTCACTTAAGGATTAGGTTGTTATTTGTAGTGTGTACATGGCTCCAGAATATTTTTCTTCTTACAGAATGTTCAACATTACAGCTTGCTCCCTCTGTAATTGGAATATATAATGTTACTGTCTTCTTGTCTGTAAGTTTTATGTCGAGAAATCTGCTAATCTTGGTATAGATCTTTTTGTATTAAACCTATTTGGAGTCCTATATACTTCTTGAGTCTGAATGTCTATTTCCTTTCCCAGATTTGTAAAGTTTTCTATTATTTCTTTAAATATACTTTCTTGCACTTTCTTTTTTGGTAACTCCTATAATATGTATATTGGTTCACTTCACAAGATGTATATTGTTTCCATAAATCTCATAGTCTTTTTCACTCTTTTCATTGTTTCAATATTTTCTCCCCTAATTGAATAATTTCAGATGATCTCTCTTCCAGTTCATGGATTCCTTCATCTGCTTGATCCAGTCTGCTATTGTAGCTCTCCATTGCATTTTTAGTTCAGCCATTGTATTCTTTAGCCTCCATCATTTCTAGTTTTAAAAAATGTTTTCTATTTCTTTGTTGAATTTCTCATTTTGTTATTGCCTTGTTTTCCTAATTGTTTTTTGTTAAATTTGTTTATCTATGTTCTTTCGGGCTCACAGAGCTTCTTTAGAACAATTATTTTGAATTTTTTGTTGCACAATTCATGGATTTTCCTTTCTTTGGGGTCAGGCACTGGAAGTTAATATTTTTGTTGGTGTTGTTTTCCTGATTTTTCTTGTTTCTTTTATGCTTTCATTGGTATTTGTGCATTTAAATAAATAATCACCTCTTCTAGACTTATAGACTGGCATTGGTAAGGAAAGACTTTCACTTGCAGGGGAGAGGGAGCATGGGATTCCTGGAACTGGGCATGGGAAGGCATGCTGGAGTGTGCTATGGTACACCAGATCCAGTGGTGCATGGTGTTCCAATTTGGAGGTATGCAGAAGCTCTGTGTCCAAGGGAACTTGGTGGTTGGTGTCTCAGGTAGCAGGGGTCTGTGATATGGGAAACTTTGTAGTCCTTGGCATCAAAAGCTTCAAGGGAGTCAACAGTGATTGTAAAGGCTGTTGGAGTCCTCAGTAGTGCCTCTTGTTACAGTGGCAAGCATATGTAGGAGGGTCAGGGTAGGTGGTGGCATGGGCCAGTGTTGGTGGTTGTGTGCTGGTTTTGGGGTATGGGGCCAGTGGCATGTGTATGCTCAGCTGTGGAGGCTGGCTGCAAGCACATATGTGGTGGTGGGGACTGGCAGTGGCGATTGAGGTTGGCTACATATGCACACAAGGTGGTTGCATTGAATCTCAGGACTGGGGTGACCATGGCCACACTGGCTGGAATGGCTCCAGTGGTGGGACGTAGGGAACTGCAGCTGAGGCAGCCATGGTCTTCAATGGCAAAAACTGTACTGCCCTCATCAGCAAAAGCTGTGGGATGTCTGTGGCTGCTATGATGGCTATTGGTTTCTTTGGCAGTATTGGGACAACAGGCCACTGGGGACCGCCATGGCTTCTGTGTGTGGGTAATACTGATAGTACCACCCTTCTTTGTTTCTAGCCATCTCCAGATATCTTGGTACACTGATCTCAGAAATCTGAGTGGAGTGAAACCAAAGTAAGTTTTTTAGGAAGTACCTTGAAAGACTGGGGAAGCTGATTCCTTATCTTGCTTGTTTTTTTCTCATGAGAGAAATTCATGGGTTGAAGAGATCTCTTTTGCTACTTAGCTGTCCTTCCCTGGGGATGGGCTGATGTAGGAAAAATGAAACTGTTCTTCTTACCTTTTTTGTGTGGTTACTCAATTTTCTTTTTCTCCAGTGTGCTGCTGTAGCTTTTTAACTGCACTCTTGAACTCTCCCAGAGCTATTTTTTGTTCAGGGATACCTGCCTTAATTGTTATTTTTTGGGGATGTTGAAGGCTAGAATCTCCTACTCCACAATCTTACTGATGTCCTCCAAAGATTTGTTATTTTAAGCTGTTAAATTTTGGGGTAATTTGATACATAGTAATTGACAATACTATATGATTAAGTACTCTTGTCATACAGTCTGCTAATAAGGACAATTTTCTTTTCCTTCCTTCCTTCCTTTCTTCCTTCCTTCCTTCCCTCCCTTTCTTTCCTTCCTTTTCTTCCTCCATGTTTCCTTCCTCCCTTTTCCTCCCTCTTTCCTTCCTTCCTTTCCTCCCTCTTTCTTTCCTTTCTCTCTTTCCTCTTCTCTTTCTTTCCTTCCTTCCTCCCTCCTTTCCCTCTTCCTTTTCTTTCCTCCCTCTTTCTTTCCTCCCTCTCTCTTTCCTCCCTTTTTTCTTTCCTTTCCTTTCTCCTTCCTTTCTCCTTCCCTCCCTCCTTCTTTCCTTTCTTTCCTCCCTCTCTCTTTCCTCCTCTTTCTCTTTCTTTCCTTCCTTCCTCCCTCTTTCCCTCCCTCCCTCTTCCTTCCTTCCTTTTCCTTCCTCTTTCTTTCCTCCCTCTTTTCCTCCCTTTCTTTCCTGCCTCTCTCTTTCCTCCCTCTCTTTCTCTTTTTTCTCTTTCCTTTCCTTTCTTTTCTCCTTCCTTCCTTCCTCCCTCCCTCTTTCTTTCCTCTCTCTTTCAACCCTCTTTCTTTTGCTAACGACCTCTGCATACAGTGTGCAGTTTGTTCAATACTTATACTTTTAATTTCTTTTTCTGTACAAGGTTGGACAGAAACTGTGATAGTAGCTCACTTGATTTGGTTCCGATTTTAGAGGAAATGTTTCCCAGCATATCACCTTTAAGTATAATGTTTGCTGCAGATTTTGGGGAGATTCTAATCAGTGGTTGGTTCCATTTAATTTCTTTTTATTTAAGAGCTTTTATTTATTTACTTTAAAAATCATAAATAGGTCTTATACTCAAAAAGGCATTCAACAAAACTCATTGTAATGATCATACGGGGTTCTGTTAATACCTGTTAATATAATGAGTTATAACCCACTCTATTTTAAAAGGTTAAACCATTCTTTCATATATAGTTTGGTCATGATATATCTGTTGTGAATGAATCGTATGTATTAATCTGAACCTTGTACTTAAGATTTTTGCACTGATGTTCATAAGGGAGGCACTCCTGTAATTTTCCTTTCTTTTACTTTCCATGTCTGATTTTGGTTTCAAGTCTGTGATAATATTATAAAAATAATTAGGGATCATTTTCAGTTTTTCTATTTCCTGGATGAGTTGGTATAATGTAGAATTAAATATTTCTTAACTGTTTGTACAACTTGCATCTAAAACCATCTGGACATGGGTTTTTATTTGTTCCCCCATAAGTACATTAAAAAAAAAAAACTGCTGATTCGGTTTCTTTACTGGTCGTAGGATTCTTCTTGTTTCTACATCTTGAGTCTGTTTTGGTAAGCTACATTTTTTCCTAGAAAATGTCTATTTTATCATAAGTTTTCAAATTTATTAGCATATAATTTTACATAATTTAGTGATTATTGTAATTTTTCTTTCCCTACAGTTTGCCACCCTTTTCACTTTTGAATTATTTTACCTAATCTGCTTTTCTTGATAAACCATTCTATTATATGTTCATTAAAATTTTTCATTAGTTTCTTCTCTTTGCTTAATTATTTCCTTCTACTTTTATTTTATTATTTTTTAAACCTTTAAAGATGGGTGCCTAGCATCTTCATTTTTAACATTTTTCTTCTTTCTAAGTATATTAGTCCATTCTCACATTGCTACAAAGAAATACCTGAGACAAGGTAATTTATAAAGAAAAGAGGTTTAATTGGCTCATTTCTGCAGGCTGTACAGGAAGCATAGTGACATCTGCTTGCCTTCTGGAGAGGCCTCAGGAAACTTACAATCATGGTGGAAGGTGAACGGGGAGCAGACACGTCACATGGCCAGAGCGAAAGGAAGAGAGAGTGAAAGGGGAAGAGCTATACACTTTTAAATAATCATATCTCAAGAGCACTCAGTCACTATCACAAGAATAGCACCAAGAGGATGGTGCTAAACTATTCAAGAGAAATCTACCCCCATGATTCAATCACCTCCCACCAGGCCCTCATTTCAACATTGGGGATTATAATTCAATGTGAGATTTGGGTGGGGACACAGATCCAAACCATATCAGTAAGATAAGTAATAATAGCCAAGCAAATAATTCTCTTGTCTTAACAGATACATCCCACAAACTTTGGAATGTAGTATTCTCATTTCTCATTATTTTTTAATTGCAAGTATTTTAAGATTTTCAGTATAATTCCTTTTTAGACAATGGATTATTCAGAAATGTGTTTTTGAATTTGCAAAACATTTTAGTTTTCCTTTTCTCTACATTTCTACTTAATTATATAATGGCTAGAGAATATTACCTATATGATATATGCGAAACTTAATGGAACTTGCTTTAGGTCCTGGGACGTGGCCAATTTATGTAAATGTTCCACATGTACTTGAGATAAATCTGTATTTAACAGGATTCTATATATGTCTATTAGACCAAGCTTGTTAATTGAATATACTCTATACACTTTTTTTTTCCTGCATAGTTTACTGATTACTGACAGAGTGCATTTAAATCTTCATTTCTCTTTGTTTTTATTCCATGCTTTTGGCTTTACATAATCTAGTGCTCTGTTTTTCAGATGCATGTAAGTTTAGACTTACATCACTTTCTGATTAGGTAAATGATTTATCATTATCTCTTATCTTTGATAACTCATAATTTGAAAACTTATACTAAATAGAATTAAAAACGAAAACTATATGATCATCTCAATAGATACAGAACAAGCATTAGATAAAATCCAACATCCCTTTATGATAAAAATCCTTAACAAACTAGGAATTGAAGTAACATACCTCAGAATAATAAGAGCCATCTGTGACAAGCCCACAGCCAATATTATACTGAACAGGCAAAAGCTGGAAGCATTTCCCCTAAGAACAGAAACAAGATAAGGATGTCCATTCTCACTGCTTCTATTCAGCACAGTACTGGAAGTCCTAACCAGAGCGACCAGATAAGAGATAGAAATAAAAGGCATCCAAATAGGAGAAGCAGAAGTCAAATTATGTCTCTTACCTGATGATATAATTCTATACCTAGAATACTCTAAAGATTCTGCCAAAAGACTCCTAGACCTGATAAACAACTTCAGGAAAGTATCAGGATACAAAATCAACATACAAAAATCAGTAGCATTTCTATACACCAATAATGCTCACGCTAAGAACCAAATCAAGGGCTCAGTCCCATTTAGGATAACCACTAAAAGAATAAAATTTCTAGGAATGCATCTAGCCAAGGAGGTAAAAATTTCTACAAGGATAACTATAAAACATTGCTGAAGGAAATCACAGATGATAGAAACAAATGGAAAAACATTTCATGCTTATGGATTGGAAGATTGACATTGTTAAAATGGCCATATTGCCTAAAGCAATTCTACATATTTAATGCTATTTTAATCAAATTACCAATATTATTTTTCACAGAATTTGGAAAAACTATTCTAAAATTCATATGGAACCAAAAAAGAGCCCAAATAGCCAAAGCAATCCTTAGCAAAAAGAATAAAGCTGGAAGCATCACCTCGGCTGACTTCAAACTATACTATAAGGCTACAGTAACCAAAACAGAATGGTACTGGTACAAAACAGACACATAGACCAATGGAACAGAAGAGAGAACCCAGAAATAAAGCTACAGACCTACAACCAACTGACCTTTGACAAAGTTGACAAAATTAAAAAATAGGGAAAAGAGGACTCCCTATTCAATAAATGGTGCTGAGATAGCTGGCTGGCCATATGCAGAAGAATGAAACTGGATCCCTACCTCTTACCGGATATAAAAATGAACTCAAGATGGATTAAAGACTTACATGTAAGACTTAAAACTATAAAAATCCTAGACAAAAGCCTTCGAAATACTCTTCTAGACATTGGCCTAGGCAAAGAATTTATGACCAAGTCTTCACGAGCAATCACAACAAAAACAAAAATTGATCCCTCCGCAGCCGCTGCCAGAGCGGAAGGGCGGGGTCTTGTGCCTCCCCCACCCCCAACCCAATGGGTGAGGAGCGAGGAAGGCAGCGCGGCGTGGGGACTGAGCCCGCGGGTGCGCATCCTGAGGCCTAGGCTACGTGGTCACGTCAGCGCGGGAGAGAGAGAGAGAGGAGCTGACTCAGCAGGGACTGGGGTACTGGGTCGAGAGTGCGAGCAAGCGAGCCAGAAGGGGAAAGGCGGCTGCTCGTGCCTGAGCTACCGCAGAGGGGAGTGGGAACAGTGGGGTAAAGGGGGGGGGGGCGGGAATAAGAAAGGCCGAGAGAAGGCAGACAGAGGGTGGTGGTGGTGGGGGTGGTGGTGGGGGTGGTGGTAGGGGGAGAGGGAGAGGGAGGAGCTGGAGGAGGTTAGAAGGAGGAGCTGGAGGAGGCTAGAAGGAGGAGCTGGAGGAGGTTAGGGGCTGAGGGAGTGAGTGAGTGAAGCGGACGCGAGGGAGGGGAGGGAAGGGAAAGGAAAGGGGGGGATCACGCAGGGGCGCGCGCAAGCACCGGGAGCGCGCTCGGAGACGAGTGGAACTGGATAGGGTTTGCTGTCAGCGGCGTGAGCTTCGGCCGCCATTTTACAACAGCTCCACTCGCGCCAGACACAGGGAGCAGCGAGCACGCCTTTCTTGCAACCTGGTACCATCGGACAGGATTCCTCCCCCTCAGTCCAACGGGGAGATCTTTGGAAACATGGCTACAGAACATGTTAATGGAAATGATACTGAAGAGCCCATGGATACTACTTCTGCAGTTATCCATTCAGAAAATTTTCAGACATTGCTTGATGCTGGTTTATCACAGAAAGTTGCTGAAAAACTAGATGAAATTTACGTTGCAGGGCTAGTTGCACATAGTCATTTAGATGAAAGAGCTATTGAAGCTTTAAAAGAATTCAATGAAGACGGTGCATTGGCAGTTCTTCAACAGTTAAAGACAGTGATCTCTCTCGTGTTCAGAACAAAAGTGCCTTTTTATGTGGAGTCATGAAACCTTATAGGCAGAGAGAAAAACAAGGGACCAAAGTAGCAGATTCTAGTAAAGGACCAGATGAGGCAAAAATTAAGGCACTCTTGGAAAGAGCAGGCTACACACTTGATGTGACCACTGGACAGAGGAAATATGGAGGACCACCTCCAGATTCCGTTTATTCAGGTCAGCAGCCTTCTGTTGGCACTGAGATATTTGTGGGAAAGATCCCAAGAGATCTATTTGAGGATGAACTTGTTCCATTATTTGAGAAAGCTGGTCCTATATGGGATCTTCGTCTAATGATGGATCCACTCACTGGTCTCAATAGAGGTTATGTGTTTGTCACTTTTTGTACAAAAGCAGCTCGGGAGGCTGTTAAAACTGTATAATAATCATGAAATTCGTTCTGGAAAACACATTGGTGTCTGCATCTCAGTTGCCAACAATAGGCTTTTTGTGGGCTCTATTCCTAAGAGTTAAAACCAAGGAACAGATTCTTGAAGAATTTAGCAAAAGTAACAGAGGGTCTTACAGACGTCATTTTATACCACCAACCGGATGACAAGAAAAAAAACAGGCTTTTGCTTTCTTGAATATGAAGATCACAAAACAGCTGCCCAGGCAAGGCGTAGGTTAATGAGTGGTAAAGTCAAGGTCTGGGGGAATGTTGGAACTGTTGAATGGGCTGATCCTATGGAAGATCCTGATCCTGAGGTTATGGCAAAGGTAAAAGTGCTGTTTGTACGCAACCTTGCCAATACTGTAACGGAAGAGATTTTAGAAAAGGCATTTAGTCAGTTTGGGAAACTGGAATGAGTGAAGAAGTTAAAAGATTATCCATTCATTCATTTTGGTGAGTGAGATGGTGCTGTCAAGGCTATGGAAGAAATGAATGGTAAAGACTTGGAGGGAGAAAATATTGAAATTGTTTTTGCCAAGCCACCAAATCAGAAAAGGAAAGAAAAAAGCTCAGAGGCAAGCAGCAAAAAATCAAATGTATGACGATTACTACTATTATGGTCCACCTTATATGCCCCCTCCAACAAGAGATGGAGGGCGAGGAGGTAGAGGTGGTTATGGATATCCTCCAGATTATTATGGATATGAAGATTATTATGATTATTATGGTTATGATTACCATAACTATCGTGGTGGATATGAAGATCCATACTATGGTTATGAAGATTTTCAAGTTGGAGCTAGAGAAGGGGTGGTAGAGGAGCAAGGGGTGCTGCTCCATCCAGAGGTCGTGGGGCTGCTCTTCCCCGTGGTAGAGCCGGTTATTCACAGAGAGGAGGACCTGGATCAGCAAGAGGCGTTCGAGGTGCGAGAGGAGGTGCCCAACAACAAAGAGGCCGCGGGCAGGGAAAAGGGGTCGAGGCTGGTCCTGACCTGTTACAATGAAGACTGACTTGGTATGTGGGATTACACCAGAAGCTTGCAATGGAGTAATGGTAAGGAAATCAAGCAACCTTAAATATCTCGGCTGTATAGGAGCATATTCTATTGCAGAAGACCTTCCTGTGAAGATCATGGAATCAAATACGGGACATTAAACTAATACTTGGACTTTGATATGAATTTCTTTAACAATTTTCTCTGCAGTGCAAGTTATTAAACTAAAGCTACTCTATTTTCAAAATGTGTTCCAACAGAAATCCTTCATAACTCCTAGCATGGTATCTTAATAAAGAATAAAGTTCTTTAAAAAAAAATTGGTAAGTGGGACCAAATTAAGAGCTTCTGCACAGCAAAAGAAATTATCAACAGAATAAGCAGAAAACCTGCAGAATGGCAGAAAAATTTGCAAACTATGCATCTGACAAAAGACTATTACCCAGAATTTATAAGTAACTTAAATAAAGCAACAAGAAAAAAAAACTGCATTAGAAAGTAGGCAAAAGACATGAAGAGACACTTCTCAAAAGAAGATATATAAGCAGCCAATTAACATAAAAATTCAACCTCACTAATCATCAGAGAAATGCAAATCAAAACCACAATGAGATAACCATCTCACACTAGTTAGAATGGCTGTTATTAAAAAGTCACAAAATAACAGATGTTGGTGAGGTTGCAGAGAAAAAGGACCACTCATACACTGTTGGTGGGATTGTAAATTAGTTCAGCCTCTGTGGAAAGCAGTTTGGGGATTTCTCAAAGAGCTAAAAATAGAATTACAATTTGACCCAGCAAACCCATTACTTGGGTATATACTCAAAGGAAAATATATTATTCTACCAAAAAGTCACTTGAACTTGCATGTTTATTGCAGCACTATTCACCATAGCAGAGACATGGAATTAACCTAGGTGCCCATCAATGATTGATTGGAAAAACAAAATGTAGTACATATATACCATATAATACTATGTAGCCATAAAAAAAAAAAACCAAATCACGTCTTTCGCAGCAACATGGATGCAGCTGGAAGCCATTGTGCTGTACAAATACAGAAACGGAGAGCCAAATAATATATGTTCTCACTTATAAGTGGGAGCTAAACATTGGATACTCATGAACATAAAAATGGGAATAATAGACACTTGTGACTTTAAAAGGAGAGGAAGAGAAGAGGGAGGCAGGGTTTGAAAAGCTACATATTGTTTACTATGTTCATTGTCTGGACGATGGGTTTGACTGAAGCCCAAACTTCAGCATCATGCAATATATCCATATAACAAACCTGCACTTATACCCCCTGAATTTAAAAAAAAAAAAGTGCCTTTAAAAAAAGCAAAGCTGGTGCCATCTGATGTTAATATTGTTATACCAGCTTTCTTTTGATTCAAAGTTACTTGGAATGAGCTGTTTATGTCACTGAACTCAATATTTCTGTTTCCTTTTATCTGACATATATCTTTGGTTAACAGCAGATAGATGGATCTGACCTAAGAAGTCTTCTCTTTAAACTGGCTAATTTAGTCCAATAACATAATTATGGCAACTGATATACTTAATTTATTTCAAGTATATTTTGTATGTCTCTAATTTTGTATTTTAAATTTGAACTCAATTTTCTATGTTGCTTTGTTTTTGCTTTCTTGCCCTCTATTTGATTAGTAAGCTTTGTTACGTTTTCTGTCTACCCTTTGAAAGTTTTATACTCTTTTTCTTTAATGGTTATTATTCAAATACTAATATGCATGTCTAAAGTTAATATTTCTATCCTCCTCCATGGAATTCAAGATCTTAGAACACTTTAATCATACGACCATTGTAAATTTTATTGTTTTCCAGTACTTTATTCTAATCCTTAGTTTAAGCACTATTATGGTTATTTTATGTACTTCTTATTTGTAGAGGTTATATATTTACAATTTGTTTGCTCACCATTCATTCCTACATCATGGACTTCTATTTATGGATCATTTTCCTGTTTTCCTGGAGTACATTCCTTTAGTAAATGCATATAAGCTGTAATTTATGTCAGTTTTGGTTTTCTGAAAAGTCTTAATTTTACCCTCAGTTTTGATTAGCCATGTATAGGACAGGTTGACAATTTTTTTCTCTTAGTATTTGATGATATTACACTAATGTCTTCTAATCTGCATAGTTGTTGTTGAGATGTCAATTTGTGTTAAACTGTTGTGCCTACGTAGATAACTAAAAAAAAAAAAAAAGAATCTGACTCTTAAATTCCTCAGTGTTCTCAGAACACCAGGAAGTGTGCCATTTGCCAGATGAAGATGGAGGAGGAAGAGCTGTAGTTTGAACAAAAAAGAAAATATAAGAAATAGTCATCTGGCCAAGTGAGCCTGTGAATGAGTAAGAGAATTGTATGATCCCTGGCACACAAATGATCCACTTAAAAAGAGATCAGTCAGGCCAGGCGCGGAGGCTCATGCCTGTAATCCCAGCACTTTGGGAGGGTGAGGCAGGTGGATCATCTGGGATCAGGAGTTCAAGACCATCCTGGCCAACATGGTGAAACCCCGTCTCTACTAAAAATACAAAAATTAGCCAGCCGTGGTGGCACTTGCCTGTAATCCCAGCTACTCAGGTGGCTGAGGCAGGAGAATCGCTTGAACCTGGGAGGCGGAGGTTGTAGTGAGCCAAGATTGCACCACTGCACTCCAGCCTGGAAGAAGACGGAACGAGACTCTGTCTCAAAAAAAAAAAAAAAAAAAAAAAAATCAGCATGGTTGCGTATCTTTTGCTCTCCATGTTGAGCAGCCCAAGTATAGGTTTACAGAAAGTAAAAAATTAGATTTAACAAGGGATGAGGTTCTGCTGTTCTGTGAAAGGGCTGTACAGTCAAAGTGATCTACAAATGCTGAAGGTGCCAAGAAACCATAGAACAAGGCAGACAAGTCCAGTTTATCAGTAAAAGTTGATTTATTGGGGGAACTCACAGACAGAAGCATGGTCTTGGGCCACTGCAACACAGGTAGATCTCCACATCTGTTACTCCCAGACCTAAGACTTATGTACTATGAGAAAAAGGTGTACATGCTCTAGCAAGGCAATTAAAGGTAACCCCTAGAACAGACAAGAATACTGTGTGCGTCATAGTCTATAATTTGTGTGCTAACATCAAGATGACATGTTCTTATACTAAGGACAGTAAATAAAGTGGGAATCAGGAGACATTCACAGGACTGGGGCTAATCAGAAGTCAACGTGGTGGATTAGCACCCATGATGGAACCAATTTTGTCTCCACATCTGCTAAATAAATTTATTAATAAGAAAAGGAGGGGGAGCAAGTGGAACAAAGGACTTGAGGGTGGAAGGTGGTGAAAAAGAGAAGAAAAAAGTGCAAAGGTGGTGAAAATGTTGGAAAATCAACAGGTTCAAGGTCTCAGCAGGTTTCATGGATTGTTCTAGTTGGGGGTACTACAGAGGTGAGCTGGAAAGATAGGAGATGGTGGATGAAAGTGGGATGCTTATTAGTGGGTGCAGCGCACCAGCATGGCACATGTATACATATGTAACTAACCTGCACAATGTGCACATGTACCCTAAAACTTAGAGTATAATAAAAAAAAAAAAGGTTAATTGAAAACTAGATGTTTTTCTATCTCTATGCTAATACAGATGTTTTAAATTATTCCAGTTGTTTAATAACTCTTAGAAACTTTAATGATAAGTCCCTTTCTTTTTCTTCAAATTGTCTAGGCTACTCTTGTCTTTTGATCCTCCTGAAGAAATTTTACATTCATCTTGCCAAATACCTTGAAAAACACTGTTAGAAGAGCTTACAGAGGGCTGGCATGCACATGGCAACTTTGTGCAGGCTGTAAGAGGCTTCTGGCCACTTGTTGGTCAGCCAGATATCCAACTTTGGTCACAAGTGATGCCACAGTGTCTCAAGGAGATGTACTATCACAAATACTGGGTTTGTGCTCTGCACTAACATATGATACAAATATTGATGAAAATAATACTGTTGCCTTCCTGAACAGGAAATTAATTTTATCACTGGATACAGACACTTATGAAGAAAGTGGACTTCAAGGTTGTCCATTTAAAGAAGAGCTGACACCAATGTTTACAGTTGTTGACAAGCTTGTAGGACTCATACAGGACTGTTCACAAGGCCAACCAGAGAGAGACCCTGCAGAAGACCCTGGGCCAGAACTGGGAGGAACATGTCTCTTTAGTGACTTGGATGGAAGCCAGAATTATGTATATATATAGAGAGAGTGACAGGGAGGGAGGGAAGGGGGGAGAGAGAGAGAGAGAGAGAGAGAGTGTGTGTGTGTGTGTGTGTGTGTGTGTGTGTGTGTGTGTGTGAGAGAGAGAGAGAGAGAGGTTCTGAGAGAGGCCAACATAGAAATGGCCCTGGATATCAGGTAGCATGGACCCTTTGTTTTGAGAGGCCCCAGCTAAATTGGGGCTCCAGTATCAGAGTGGCAAGCAGCCACTGGGCATGGGTGTCCACACGTGCTTTGCGTCGGATACTTCTTTTACCTGGTGGATGGCCTAATTCCTAGTTGTCTGGACTGTGACCAAGGCGTCCTTCACGTGGGAAACTTATTTATACTGACTGATGCCTATAGCTTTTGCTGACCTGTGTCCAGTTTATGCCTACCTAACCATTGCTCTGGCCTGGGAGCCTGCCCTTATATTCTCCTCAGCATCCCAGGGAAAACCAGGCCTGAGTAGCCCCTAGTTCTTCAGAGGGAAGGTACAAATTCAATATAACATCACAATAGGAAATAAATTGAAAGATTTACAAGCCCTGAGCAGGGAGGGCACCTTTGGAAGCCCTTTATCATCAGGTCATATGAGGCTGGAATGAAGAGTCAGGCAGAGAGAGAGACACACACACACACACACACTGACAGACACACACACCAAGGGGCTACATGGAGCCTCAGCTTCCTAGAGACCCCTTACTGGACTCCTGGACTTGGCCTCAGTGGATGGCCAAGAAGCTGCTGGCTGTACCGGCCACCCAACATTTTTGCATTCACTGCCTGGCCACTGACAACTCTACTCCCTGGTCTCCTGGTTGAGGAGCTTTGAGGAGTTCCATGGAAAGCATCACATTGGGCATCAAGCTGTGACACCAGCAGTGGAGCCTGGTCATGGAGAGTGTGGTTCCCTTGGACAGTGACCATTCCACCTGCACGGTGGAGAACAAGTTTTATAGCATCCAGCAGATGTATATGCTGTACCTGATGGAGACTGCCAGCCATCCAGAGGGTGGTACTGGACAGTGAGGTAGAGTTTCATTTCAAGGTGTACTGAGACTTAGCATGTAGAGATGAAAGGCAGCAAGGTGGGCTCTGAAGGCACACGCTACCTCACAGTGCTCAAGTAGCATGTGGCAAACTTGTGGGGTTTGGGGCAACTCCAGGAGGAAGGCATTATTTCTTGTTCTGATAAGTGGTGGTCAGGTCCAGTTTGCACTCATGAAAGTTCAGTCTTTGGGATGTGCAGTTCCATGGGTCTGAACCAATGTGCTGTGGCTACTTCACTACTTCAGCACCTCAGGTAGCAGCTTCTTCATCCTCAAGGTCACCAGTGTTTCTCCTTTGTTGTCAAACTCTCTCCACTCTGTCAGCCCCTGGAAACCACTGATTTTTTCTTAGTCCCTATGGTTTAGCCTTTTTCAGGATGGCCTATGAATTGGAACCATGCAGTGGGTAGTTTTTGGGTCTGGCTTCTTTCACTTAGCAAAATGCAGCTAAGCTTCATTTATATTACTGTAGGTTCAATGGTGTCTTCCCTTTTATCACAGTTGTTTATGGGTGTACCACCATTTCTTTATTCATTCCCTTGTTGAAGATCATCTTGGTTGCTTCCAAAGTTTAGTGATTATGAATAAAGCAGTGAATGTGGCCTGAAAAAAAAAAGGAAGAAAAACACTGTTAGCAATTTTGTTTGGGATTATATACTAATTTGGAGGAGAACTAACTTCTTTTTGATATTGTCTTCCCATCCAAGGTAATCCGTTTAATTTAGGTCACTGTCTCCAGCTTTTGATTACATTTGTTAGTTTTCCTCATTAAGGACTTTCGTGTCTTTTATTCAACTTTTTTATTTCTAAATATTTAGATGTTTTTTGTTGCTACTGTGCTTTGTATTTTTTCCCTGATTAAATGTTCTAAGGATTTTTTTTTCTGATGTTTAAAGGGACTTTTAATTTCTGCATATTTACCTTTGTCCAGCAACTTTGCTGAACTTAAAAGCTTTTAATAGTTTGGATATTTTCGTGTGTTTTATGTTTAGGCAATCATGTGATACGATTTTACTTCTTATATCTTTTATTTCTTTTGTCATCTTAATTTATTATACAACTCAGAAATCTAGACCAATGTTGAATTGAAGCAATGATAGCAGAAATCCTTTCTTTCCCCCTATTAAAGTAATGCATCAATCTATTCCAATTAAGAATGATTTCTTTTAAAATTTTATTATTATTATACTTTAAGTTTTGGGGTACATGTGCACAACGTGCAGGTTTGTTACATATGTATACATGTGCCATGTTGGTGTGCTGCACCCAATAACTCGTCATTTAGCATTAGGTATATCTCCCAATGCTATCCCTCCCCCCTCCCCCCACCCCACAACAGTCCCCAGTGTGTGATGTACCCCTTCCTGTGTCCATGTGTTCTCATTGTTCAATTCCCACCTATGAGTGAGAACATGCGGTATTTGGTTTTTTTCCTTGCGATAGTTTGCTGAGAATGATGATTTCCAGTTTCATCCATGTCCCTACAAAGGACATGAACTCATCATTTTTTATGGCTGCATAGTATTCCATGGTGTATATGTGCCACATTTTCTTAATCCAGTCTATCATTGTTGGACATTTGGGTTGGTTCCAAGTCTTTGCTATTGTGAATAGTGCCACAATAAACATACGTGTGCATGTGTCTTTATAGCAGCATGATTTATAATCCTTTGGGTATATACCCAGTAATGGGATGGCTGGGTCAAATGGTATTTCTAGTTCTCCATCCCTGAGGAATCGCCACACTGACTTCCACAATGGTTGAACTAGTTTACAGTCCCACCAACAGTGTAAAAGTGTTCCTATTTCTCCACATCCTCTCCAGCACCTGTTGTTTCCTGACTTTTTAATGATAGCCATTCTAACTGGTGTGAGATGGTATCTCATTGTGGTTTTGATTTGCATTTCTCTGATGGTCAGTGATGATGAGCATTTTTTCATGTGTTTTTTGGCTGCATAAATGAAGAATTGGAGAAAATTTTTGCAACCTACTCATCTGACAAAGGGCTAATATCCAGAATCTACAATGAATTCAAACAAATTTACAAGAAAAAAACAACCTCATCAAAAAGTGGGCAAAGGATATGAACAGACACTTCTCAAAAGAATGATTCTTACTGTAGATTATTTGGTAGGTACCCTATTACTAAGGTCTTTGGCACCCAAATCTAAGTGTTGGTATGTTTTCTTTTGGACTGTTCAGTTTCACTAGGGTGGAACATTTAATCCTTTGCCTGCGGGTTAGGCCTGGCAGTCAAACGTTCTCAGTGCCAAGACAAGAAGGGCATTTGTAATCTTATCATGAAATTATTTCTCTGTTTTCACTTTGGCTCCTCATCCCTGCCCTTCACTGTGCTTCTTCTCGTAGATAAGAGCCTATCTGAAATGGCCCTTCCTGGGAGTAGATCCATCTTTTGTTAGGCTTGAGAGGCTCTGTGTAACAGGGAACAAGTTTCTTAGAATTTAAGACAAATTGTTGTTTTTCAATGCTTTTCATCATTGGGCTTCCATAGGTACTTGATGCCTCCATTTCAGGTATTTCTGGGTTTCTCCTATGTGAGTCAGACACTTCATATTGCCTTCTTAACCCCACAGACTGGCTGCTAGTTTTCAGCTTTTTCTGCTCTGTTGAGCCAGTTACCACTCATCCATCTGTGTTCCTTCTTCCAAAACTTTCTTGACATTTCTCCTTTCTTCTTCTCTTACTTTGTGTTTGTATGTTTATTCCTTTTTAAAATTCCTTTTTGGGGCTTTAGGGGGAAGTAAGGATAAATAATTGGATTGAGTTTCTATGTTTAACTGGAAGTCCTGATTTATCTTTTCATCCCTTTCTTTCATAATTTCTATTTCATCTATGTCATCACATCTACCACAAATAGCATAGAACTGGATAAAAATCTGATTAAAAATTCAATCTTAGAATCTTTGTTTTTTTAATCAGTGAGTTTAACTCATTTACATTTATTGAGAGTATGGTTATACTTGAATTTATTTACATTACATTACTTCATATTTTTTAAATACCTTGTATTTTTCCTACTTTTCTCTCTTTTTCTGGTGTCTATTTTATTGAGTTTTTTATATTCCCTGTTTTCTCCTCTCTATTAGTTTAGAAATCATAGCTTCTATTTCCATGGTTTTAGGGGTTATACTTAAATGTTAAATCAGTAAGAAAAAACAAACCATTCCATTAAAAAGTGGGCTCAGGACATGAATAGACAATTCTCAAAAGAAGATATGCAAATGGCCAACAAACATATGAAAAAATGCTCAACACCACTAATAATCAGAGAAATGTAAATCAAAACCACAATGCGTTACCACCTTACTCCTGAAGAATGGCCATAATGAAAAAATCAAAAAACAGATGTTGGCATGGATGCGGTGAACAGGGAACACTTCTACACTGCTGGTGGGAATGTAAACTAGTATAGCCCCTATGGAAAACAGTGTGGAGATACCTCAAAGAACTAAAAGTAGAACTACCATTTGATCCAGCAATCCCACTACTGGGTATCTACCCAGAGGAAAATAAGTCATTATTCGAGAAAGATACTTGCACACACGTTTATAGCAACACAATTCACAATAGCAAAATTGTGGAACCAACCCAAATGCCCATCAATCAACAAGTGGATAAAGAAACTGTGATATTTATATATTTGGGAATGGAAAACCAAACATCGTATGTTCTCACTGATATGTGGGAGCTAAGCTTTGAGAATGCAAAGGCATAAGAATGATACAATGGACTTTAGGGACTTTGGGGGAAGAGTGGGAGGGGGTACAAAGAATAAAAGACTACAAATACAGTGCAGTGTATACTGCTCGGGTGATGGGTGCATCAAAATCTCACGTATCACCACCAAAGAACTTACTCATGTAACCAAATACCACCTGTACCTCATTAACTTATGGAAAAATAAAGAAAATTTAAAAAATTTACATACTTTATTCAACCAAATTTAAACTTAACCAACGCCCCTACCCTTATCCTGATCAAAACAAGCTCCTTAGAATCATTAAATCTGATTACCAATTCTTGATTGCCATCTTCTTTTTCTTTTTCTTTTTTTTTTCTTTTTTTTTTTGAGACAGAGTCTCTCTCTATTGTCACCCAGGCTGGAGTGCAGTGGTGCAGTGGCACAATCTTGGCTCACTGCAACCTGCATCTTCCGGGTTCAAGCGATTCCCCTGCCTCACTCAGCCTCCCGAGTAGCTGGGATTACAGGCGCCTGACACCATGCCCAGCTAATTTTTTGTATTTGTAGCAGAGATGGGGTTTCGCCATATTAGCCAGGATGGTCTCCATCTCCTGACCTCGTGACCCGCCTGCCTCGGCCTCCCCAAGTGCTGGGATTACAGGCATGAGCCACCGCATCCGGCCGATTGCCATCTTCTTCCATCTTTCAGGATTCTTTTGTCTTATGTTTAGCTATACATTTTTCTCTATACCCAAATGAGTCATTATTGATTATTATTATTATTATTATTGTAACTGTGTTTTTAACATTTATTTGCTCACAATTGCTTCTTGCATTTAGCATTTTTCTTCTGGGTTCAGTTGATCTATTACTGAAGAACATGATTTAGTAGTTATTTCAGTAAAAGTCTGTGTAATATATTCTCTTTAGATAACTAAAAACGTATTTTTTTTTCACTTTTCATTTTGAAATCATGGTTAGCTGGGTACAGAGTTTTAAGGCCATAGCTAGCTCTTTCTACACATTGAAGGTATTTTCCATTTTCTCTGATACCCGTTATTGCTTTGGAAAAGTATTCTGATTGTTCTTTGTAGTTAATTTCTCCCCATTTTTTTTCCTGTAAGACTGTCTTTTTTTATTTTTCAGATTTGTTAAAATATATCTAGGCATGGTTTTATTTTTATAGTTGTTTTATTTATTTATTTGAGACAGAGTCTCACTCTATTACCTAGACCGTAGTGCAGTGGCACAGTCATGACTCACTGCAGCCTTAATTTCCCAGGCTCAAGTGATCCTCCCACCTCAGCCTCCTGAAAAGTCAGGACTACAGGTGCACACCACCACGACCAGTTAATTAATTTTTTTTTCCATAGAGATGGGGTCTCTCTATGTTGCCCAGACTGGTTTCAAACTCCTGGGCTCATGTGATCATCCTGCTTTGGCCTCCCAAAGTATTGGGATTATGAGTGTGAGCCACCGTGCCTGGTTATATTTTATGCTTGCAAGATTAAAACAAAACATTTTTGGTGTGAATTTATTTCTATGTTTTATGCTTACAGGTTTTGTGCTTCTTTAATCTGAGGAGTTATATTTTTCAATTCTTAGAAATTCCTATCATCTTCTCAAATATCACCTCTGTATTTTTTTGGGATGGGGGGAACCTCCAGTTTTTTGTAAGTTAGATCTTCTCATTCTGCTGCATGTTTCCACATGTCTAATTTAAAAGAAAAATTTGTCTCTGGATAATTCTTTCTTCTCTATTTTCTATAATATGAATTCTTTCGATTTAACCAATCTGTGTTTTAACTATCTGTTGAGATTTAATTTCAATTTGACTCGTTCTTTCTCCAAACTTTTCAGCTATTTTTTTTCCTGAGAATATTCTGTTCTTTTGTTATAGTGTCCATGTTTTTTTCTTAGCTCTTTATTAAAAACATATTTTTTCCTAATCTTTCTCAGATTATTTTACTATCTCAAATTCTTGGTATGATACATATTCCAGTTTGTTGTATCTGCTGGCTTTCTCTAATAGTGGATTTTTTTCCTCACGTGGTGTATAATTTTTGAATGTGAATTTATTTTCATCAGGGTTTAAAAATGGTTTGCATGTGTGTGTATGTGTTGTGTGCAGCCTACACTACAGTTTTGTTTTGCCTATGCCTAATGCCCTTGGGATTTTTAGGCTATCCGATCAGCCTGGAACTCTGGCATCACTTGAATAGTGTAACTCTAGAACTGCTCAGGCTTGACATTTTAATTTTTTTATGAGAAAATTCTATTTTATTTCACTCAACATTTTGGGAAAAAATAAACTTCCTTGATGCATCCCTAGGCCAAAACACTGATTATTTAAATTTTTAACACAGCAGCTAATATTATCAGTGTAAGTAAAAAATTTATTAGGGAAGCTACTTAGCACTAACTGAAGTGCGGGAGTCCACTGTGAATTAATCTTGCAGATGGTCTTTCTGATCACTGATTCTCAAGGGGTTGTAAAGCAGGACTAGTGAGAGAGAAGCAAAACAAGTGCATCCTGAGGGTCTTTTAGGGGATAATAGCTCCTTTGACATATTCTTTAGTGGTTCCAAGACTAAATTGTCTTTTTTTAAGTTCATTTCTGAAAGTCAGTAATTGATGCGATTCCTTTGAGTTTTCTGGTTTATATTCCCCTCTCCTTGGAATTGTTCTTTCTGTGAAGATGCCCTGCCTGTACTGTATATGACCGACTTCAGTTTTCATATCAGGTTTCACCTTTTTCTTCTTTGCTATTTTGGTAATCATCAGTGATGTATTATCCCCAATGGCCAGTCTCCATGTGTGGTGTCTTATCTAATCTAAATTTCTCTAAATATTATTTAAGCCTCAGAATTCCAAGTTACACTGTTCTCTCCTCTTTCTGGTGTTCATTGTTCTTAGAGTTAGTAACACATCATTTAGCACTTTATTATTTCCTGCTTGTATTGCTCAAGTTACAGTGAATGACTTAAAATTTGGGGTCATATGTTGGGGGAATCTTTGTAGTTTAGATCAATCTAATTCATGATATTGTGAGAAACAAATATTTCTCCTTTCTGAGACATATTTCTTAGGCTCCTAGGCATATACATTGTTCATATCAATTGTCAAAGTACAATCTAGCTATTTTAAAAATAAATGGTGGAGGGCTATGAATATTCTTTCCCTCCTTATTAGGACTAGAAATACAATTTACTAAATTTGCTCTGCTTTCCGCCTTGTTTGTTCTTTACTAAGCAAAATATATTATTGGTAGTATGTAAATGATAAATGCAAACAAAGTAGCTCTTTTAAGTTATAAAACTACATTTGCTGTCAAGCCAGAGGAATGAGATAATATGCCTACATTAATAGAAAGTATCACTAGTTTTTATGTTTTAAAGTTTCTACTTTAGAATTTATTGAGATTATCTCAGACAGCATTAAATGTGAGGTTTTCAATGATGGCTTTTTTCCTGATTTTTATTGTGGTCTTTTCTAATATACCTATTAGAGAACTGACATATTTCTACTTTTTCTCACAAATAAAGGACAATAGCATTATTTAAGTGCTAACAGGTATTTATAGAGATGCATGCATGTTTGTCCAGTTCACTTTCTTTTTCTTTATTAGACACAGAATTTGAAGAGAAATATAGACATTCTAGTCAAACAATTAACATGTGAGCAGAATATATTGGTTTTTCTTTAAAAAGTCAGAATTTCTTCCATATTCCCTAAAGTGTGTTATTAATTCTCTTGGCAAGTTACACAGCAGAATGAAGTATTTATGAATGTGGCTACTTCTTTTAACAAGTTCCAATAACTGCTTCCTAAACCTTGTGTTTTTATATCAATTACATACAGTAAGCACTGAAATCAACCAAAGAGAACTGCAGAGGCCAACTTGAGATATTCTCATTAAATGAGGACTGCTGCCTGCCAAAAGTAAAATGTGGATATAATTTTATAACACCATTTTATAATTAAAGTCATAAGTGAGGTTTCCTGCTATTGTTGAAAAATGTGTCATGATAAATTTAAATCAAAGATACAGGCAAAGAAAGGTCTGCAAAGTAACAGATGAAGGCAACTCAGATGGTACAGAAACAAGGCCTGGTGCAGAAAAGAAACACATGCAAACAATTTTACTGAAATAATTACATTTATTGTAGATGGATTTCTGTTTTAGAAACGATAACCACTTAGAAACGGTTTTCATTCATGTCAGATTGAGGTTAACTTGTTGGTACTGTCTGTCTATAGAAAGATTCTTTTTTACCAGCAGGGAAATTTAATACATTGATTTAGTGATAAGACCATATCTTCTGACCAAACACCCACCAAAAAAAGTTCTCTAAAACTGAAGAATGTGACTGTAACATGTGGAAGTCCACAGTAGTTAGCATTGCCAGATTTAGCAAATAAAAAATACAGGACACTCAGTTGAATTTAAATTTCAGATAAGCAAGGAATACTTTTTTTTAGTATAAGTATGTACCAAATATTACATGAGACATACTTATGCTAAAAATATATTTGTGGCTTACCTGAAATTCAAATATAACTGGGTGTTCTGTATTTCACCTGGCAACCTTAATACAGATAAAATACAAATTTTGGCAATGAATTTTGTATTTTTGAACTAAATATTTGAAAGAGAATAAATACAACTGATCAGAGCAGAGAACGAGGTAAATTTATTTTTGTACTGTCAGCCTATTAAATTTCTAACATTCCCAGTTATGTCAATGATGATTTCTGTTCAGTGATGAGGAAGATTTTTGCCCTGCTGCTGGACCCGCTTTGCTGGTGAACACAGCCCATTTAAAAGAGCTTCTCTCCAAAGGAGACATGTTGATTCACATACATGGATAGATTTAATCATTGTGACATTCCTGGCTTTAGTAAGTCATGTTCGTCTAATGTGAAGCCTGTTCCCAATGTATCAATTCATTCATCTTGTCTCTAATACAAGCCATGTGTTTCATATGGGAGTTGAAAGGACATTAATCAGAATCTCCCCCTCAACCAGTCCAAGGGGATGCAAAGTCTGTGGTTACATCTCAAATGTCAAGATATGGGGAAATGGAAATAACATTCAAAGCATCTCACTTGTAATCCATACCGTTGTTACAATTGCTATGAAATATGTTGGGGACGGGAAGGCAGTGTACCATAAAGCAGTGTCTGTTCAGTGGAAACTGGTTGGAAGGGGTTGAAGGAGCTGTATCTGCTTTTCCGCAGCAGACACAACTCCCATGGAATCTATGAGAAGGCAGAAATTGGTATCCAAACTTTTGTTGCGTTCCTTTAAGAGTAGGGGAAATGTATAGTCATCTATACCTCAATTTTCCTGTTATAGGTCAGTGGTTCTCCATCTTGGCTGCACATAGGAACCACCTGGCAATTTGTAGCACTCCCAATGCCAAGGTCACACCCAAGACCAATTAAATTATAATCTTTGGGGTGGGAACCCAGGCATCAGTTGTTATCAAAACTCCCCAGGTGGTGCCAATATGCAGCCATATGTAAGAACCGCTGGATCAACAGGAAATTCTGGCTATAGACTTGGGAATACCTACTGACTTATTGTCATCTATGGCATTTGTTTCTTACCAATTTACCGTGTTATATCTGGCATCTACTCTTTATTTAAAAAACTGCTGGTTCATCATCATCAGCATCATATCATTATGATAATCTCTTATGCTCTTGGAGGAAAAATGACGGTAAATAATTAAACAACTTGTAATAAGATGTTAAAATGTAAAATGAATGAAATGCACCAGGTGCTGAGTTAGGTGGTCACAGAGGGCCTTCTCTATAGAGGACATTTAAGTAGAAATATAAAACCATGGTTCTCAAAGTGCAGTCCCTACGGTGGTTCTCAAACTGTGGCCCTAGGACCAGCAGCCTCAAAGTCACCTGGAAACTTGGTCAAAATGCAAATTCTGAGGCCCTAACTCAGCATTTCTGAATCAGAAACTTGGGGGTTGTGTCTCGGATACCTGTATTCTAAAATAAGATCTCCGAGGTGATTCTAATGCATAATCGAGTTTGAGGCTATAAATATTTTTCCAAATATTGATTTACAGTATTCTACAGGAATTTCTATGTGTTTTCACTTATTTAAAATAATATGTAGTTTCAATTTTAATCTGTCTTAAGATTAATACAGATACATGTTCTAAAATTCCAAGTTGGATTTTTTTTTATTGTTGATTTCCAGTTTTTTTTTTAATTGCATTTAGATAACATGACACGGGTGATCTTTAGTTTTTGGGTTTAACTGAACATTTCCTTGGGGCCATCCAGACCAATTTTGCAATGTTTCATAGGTTTTTTATTTATTTATTTTATTATTATTATTTTGAGGCCGTCTTGCTCTGTCGCCTAGACTGGAGTGCAGTGGTGTGATCTCCGCTGACTGCAACCTCGGCCTCCCAGGTTCAAGAGATTCTCATGTCTCACCCACTGGAGTAGCTGGGATTACAGGTGTGTGCCAGCACGACTGGCTAATTTCATTTTATTTTATTTTTGTAGGGATGGGGTTTTGTCATGTTGGCCAGGCTGATCCTGAACTCCTGGCCTCAAGGGATCCACCCACCTTGGCCTCTCAAAGTGCTGGGATTACAGGCATGAACCACCACACCTGGTGTTTCATAGGTTTTTGAAGAGTATGTGTATTTGTATCTATTAATTCAGGCTTGCAAATTCAGTTATTTATTTATTGTGTGCTTGATCTATTTCTGAATATGGAGAAGTGAAAGACTCCCATTTTGTCTGTGGTTTGCCAATTGTTCTTTGACTTTCCAACATTTTTGTTTTGTATATTTTGAAACTACGCCCTTACATAAAAATTTATGACTGTTATATCTTCTGGATAATTTTATTAGCATACACTGCACTTTATTAGCTTATATTATTCTACACTAGTGTTGTTTTTTCCATTGATTCTCTTTCATGTGACATTTAATTTGCTTTACATATCCTTTTTCATATTTCGTTTCACATCTTTGGTGTGTCTCTAAAAACATCAGACAGTAGGTATTCTTTAGCTTTGTTAATTTTAATACAATTTGTAAGTCTCTGTGTTTTTAACACCAGAAACAAACCATTCATATTAACTGTTTTTTGAGATTTTAAAACTGTCACCTTATTTTTGTTTACTACCTTTGAAATGTTTTATTTTTTTCTGACTTTTGACCTGACTATACTTTTTGTGTGTGTACTCTGTCTTTAAACTGCTAGTAATTTTTTGGAAATAATATATCTGAAATAATTTTAAAACTTGTCTGTAAGTTCTTTGACATTTCCCAGTGAGAGATGGAGTCTGAATCCTTTCCTCTTGAACGTGGGCCAACCTTAATGACTCACTTCTAACAGAGAATGTGGTAGAAGTGATATGAATAGCTTCCAAAGTGGGTTCACTAAAGGCATTACATATTCTTCTGCCTGGTGCATGCTCGCTCTCATTCTCTCTCTCTCTCTCTTTCTTTCTCTCTCTTCCTCTCTCTGTTAAGATACTTTCCATTGGAACCCAGCCACCATGCTTTCAGGAAGCCCAAGCTTCATGGAAAGGCCATGTCTAGGTGTTCCGGGTAACAGCTTCTGCTGAGGTACCAGTGGAAAGTCAGCATCAGTTGCTGAATGTGTAAGTGGAGGCTTTATGCCTAGTTGTGCCCAGTTATTCCCCAAATCCTGAGCAATGAGAAAATGATTCTTGTTGTTTTAAGTTACAGCAATAGATACTGAAGAAAAATTTTATTTTTATTCTTCTATTGTTAAAGTAATTTCAAACATTTATATAAATATAACATCAAACATTAATCAATAGTTATAACCTGTAATCAGAACAAGGCAATATTTTTAACAAAAAAAAGAGTGAGAGAAAGGAGGGATAAGAGAAAAGGAGAGAAGAGAGGGCACAAAACTAAAAGTAGCACACCAATGAACCTCCGGTCTACTCATTGGCAAAGAGCAAGAATGAGTATTATGAATTTGCAATGTGTCACTCAGAGTTGAGCATCTCATCAGGCTGAATGTGATTATAACATTTAAAGATATGTTATTTTCTGTATATTGTGCACTCTCAAGGCAAGTCAAGAACTTTATTTGGTGCTCAAGTGAAAAATTAAGATCCATTCCAATGCTGGAGAGAAAGCTGTCTCAAGAGGCAGCATCTTTATAGTCTTACGGTGATTGAAGACATTTTTAAGGTCAATGATGACGCCAGTCAATTTTTGCCTTGCATAATAACCTTTATGGCAACCCCCTTGGGAGCATGTCCGACCACATGGGGGTGGCTGTTTTTTAAGCTCCTGCAGGCTTGCTCCCTTCCCTGTTTGTGTTCTCTGCCTTGTTAACTCAGAGCTTGGAGATTCTTTGGGGGCTGTTTGGGGAAGAAGTTACTTTACCTATATAAACTCCTATGCAAGGTCTATTGTAGGGTGAGATTTTTCTCTGTTCTGTTTTCTATGTTAGTCTTTTTTGTTCCTTCTTCCTTCCTTCCTTCCTTCCTCTCTCTTTCTTCTTTCTTTTCTTTTCTTCTTTTCTTTTCTTTCTTTCTCTCTCTCTCTCCCCCTCCCTCCCTTCCTTCCTTCTTCCTTCCTTCCTCTCTCTCTTTCCTTCCTTCCTTCCTCTCTCTTTCTTTCCTTCCTTCCTTCCTCTCTCTCTTTCCTTCCTTCCTTCCTTCCTTCCTCCTTCCCTCCCTCCCTCCCTCCCTCCCTCCCTCCCTCCCTCCCTTCCTTCCTTCCTTCCTTCCTTCCTTCCTTCCTTCCTTCCTTCCTTCCTTCCTACCTTCCTTCCTTCCTTCGTCTTGCTCTGTCACCCAGTCTGGAGTGCAGTGGTGCCATCACGGCTTACTGCAGCCTTGCCTCCTGGGCTCAAGCAATCCTCCCATCTCAGCCTCCTGAGTAGCTGGGACCACAGTCATATGCCACCATGCCTGGTTAATTTTTTAATTTTTAGTAGAGGTGGGGTCTCGCTGTGTTGCCCAGTCTGGGCTTGAACTCCTGGGCTTTTACATTAATCTAATTCCATCTGTCTACATTAAAATAATTCTTGTTTTTGAAACTGCCTATTAATCCGTTCTCCTTGTAAAAATTTCAAACCATAGAAAATTGTAAGAAAGATCTTCTTTGTCCAATCTAGAATAGATCTCAATCCCTTTCTTTCTCATCACTCTGTTAAATTTCTATTCAAATGTATTTTTTAGAACTTGATTGTTGTTGCCCGTACATGTATACGTGCATAATTTGTACATGTGTGTCTTAGCTATCCAATGGTCTTTTTGCTGTTTTTACAAACAACACCAAACTGCGTGGCTCAAAACAACATTTATTTTATATCTCATGGTTCTATGGGTTGGCTGAGGAGTAGGAGGTCAGTTCTTCTACCAGCCTTGCTTAGACTTCATGGATGAAAATGTCTACAACAATATTCTCCATTCTACATGCTCATCAAGAGTCTTTCCATGCCTGGATCAAATGGTTGAATCCTTCTCTTGAGCTGGGTGGGCCATTGTGAATGGCTGAACTGATAGAGTATGGCAGAAGAGATGCTATGTGAATTTGAGAGTAGTTTATAAAAGATGCTGCTGCTTCCCCTGGCTCTCTTTTGGGACACTTGCATTTGGAACCCAGACACCATGTCTTGAAGAAACCCAGGCCAGATGAACCCTCAGACCTGGCTGAGATTCCAGCTGATAGCCAGCACCAACTTGATACCCAAATAAGTGAGCCAGCTTGGATGTGAATCCTTCATTCCTCAGTCAAGTTTACTCCAGCTGATGCCATAAGCAGCATCACATGGAGATGCCAGGCTCTGCCCAAATTGAAGATTCATAAGCAAAATAATGTTATTGTTTTGAGTCACTATGTTCTGGGATAGTTTGTTATGCAGCAGTAGGGTAGACTGTCTTATGCAGTTGCAGTCAGAAGGTGGTGTGGAGTTGGATATATGATACCTTAGTATTCTTCCATAGGGCCTGTCATTCCAGAATGGGAGCCCGCTCACCTCTTGTGGCAGCTCAAAGCTTCATAAAAAAGGAAGTGAGAACTTCCAGCCCTTTTTGATGCCTGAGTTTGTGCATCCTGGAATGTCACTTTGTCCAGATTTCAGGGGAGGAAACATAAGCTCTACCTTCTGATGGGAGGAACAAGGAATGACATGTGTATACTGAAAGGGAAGGGATTGACAGTGGCCATCTCTGGAAATCAGCTGACACACTGCCCCTTATTAAAATATGAGGTCCATGAGGGCCCTAACCTTGTCTCCTCTGTTCACCATTGCATCTCCAGCACCTATTGCTGTATTTGACACATGCTATCTGTGAAAATGTTGCAAAAACGACTAAATAATATAGTGCAAGAGTGAAAGGGTACAACTTTTGTATAAGACTATTTCCTTTGACCAGAGTACTTTCTCCTCTTTCCCTAAGCTATCTCTCATTCCTTCTCAAAACTCAGTTTAAATGCCATTTCCTTCATGGCCCATGCAGAGTTAGTTACTCTCTCCTTTTGGCTCCCTTAGTATTTTGCTCATGTCTCGTTGTGTTGGGCATTTGTCGGTTTCTCTTTGGGAGGATCTCAAAATGCAAAAATCATATCTTAGTCATGTCTTTGAATGACTTCCAGTGTCTGGCAGGTAGTGTGCTCAGAAATATAGCCATGGCTTAGAACAAACACTCAAAAACGGAATCAGTGAATTCTAACTCTGGGCTCCACAACTCAACAGGGAAATTAAAAAAATTTGAAGTACATTTTAAGAACAGCTGATGACTTAAAAGGCCTTGGGTGGCGTTGAAGATGCATGGCAACAGAAAAAATGTTAGTCTAGAAAAGGGAAATGATTTCCAAAGAAAAATACTGAGATCACTGAAATTTTAAAAATACTTCTATAAACTTCAACAATAGAAATATCTGCTCTGTACTTCATCTGTGAAATGGGGGATAATAGTCCTGATGAGTATTTAAGGTTGATGTAAGGAGTGAATGAAATAAAAAATATACATAGTGCTCAGACCAATGCCTGGAACACAGTTAGTGTTCAATAAGGAGTAGCTATCATAATAAACCTTTAAACAATGTCTGCCACTTATTGACTGACCACTTGTGCAGGAACTGTATTCAGTGATAATATGGATGTCAAATGATGGGTGTTTCTTTATGAAAGTAATTCAGCATGAAGCAAGAAAGGAGGAGTAGCCTTTCCTGAAACATCAACAAGGTTGAATGTCATTTCCAGGATCTCTTTCCTATCATTTTTCAATGTCACTTTTCAATGGCTAGCATCTTCACAATGCAAGATTGGAAGGAAGAGCAGGGAAAATGGAGATTTGCTGATTCTACAATTTGGTGAACAGGTGTGGAAAGCTTGGTACATGCTCAGCTGTCACTTAGAAGAGTAGAGAAATCAGGCCACAAGCAAGTGGCTCACACCTGTAATCCTAGCACTTTGGGAGGCTTGGGTGGGATGACTGCATGAGCTCAGAAGTTCAAGACCAGCCTGGGCAACATAGCGAGACCTTGTCTCTACAAAAATAAAAATAAAAATTAGCTGGATGTGGTGGTGTATGCCTGTAGTCCCAGCTATTCAAGTGGTTGAGGCAGGAGGATTGCTTGAGCCCAGGAATTTGAGGCTGCAATGAACTGAGATAGTGCCACTGTACTCTAGCCTGGATGACAGAGAGAGACCCTGTCTCAAAAAGAAGCAGCAGCAGCACAGAGAAACTGACATCTGAAAAGAAATCTCCAGGCCTAAGATTTCTAGCTCTTGAACATTTGAAGCTTGCTTTATATAGCAATTCCTTTCCATCCATTTATAGAGTGAAAAATCAGGTTGAAGCTTGCTTTATATAGCAATTCCTTTCCATCCATTTATAGAGTGAAAAATCAGGTTGTTTTATCACCAATTAGCCTTCCAATGAGAGTTACTCTGAATAGAGAAATGGCAGAGACCCAGCTTAACTACCTTGGAGATGCTGATAAAGGATCCAGCACATATGTCTCAGGGGCAGCCTCTCATGCAATCTCTACAACTAACCATCAACGTTTCTTGGAGAATCCATCATCAACTGAAATTGCTTTGTTTGATAGCTTAGGCAGCCAGTTCAAGGGCAGACTGCCCAGACAGACCTCTGTGCTAGCTGCCAGGTAATTAATTTACCTCCAAAAATGAAAATAAGGCTCATTGTTCTCACTGCTTCTTTTCTTCTTTCTTTTTTTTTTTTCTTAAAATAAATCCTGTTTTTACCTTTCTTCATTGACGACAGCCTAATGACAATCTCCTTTATATACAAGTAAATTTTTTGGCATGCAGATAAGTAACTGTACATCTCTGTGTCATTCTTTGACATATGACATCACGGAGATTCACTGTCATCTTATATGCAGTCTTTTAGCTGATCAGTGAATGATCTGTTTTGTTTTTTTGGATACAAATTTTATTTTTGGAGCCTAGCTTTATAACAAAGAAATGAAAAAGTTGCCTTGTTGAAATAGGATGGCTCATTGTACAAGTGGTCCCTGGAGACTCTTTGACTTGAATACACAGATATGAAAATACATGGAGATGTGTTGGCTAAAGATACAATTAAATGTTTTAATGAGTGCTGTTCAGTTAATATGTAACGGAAGGAATGTTAATTATTTTCTGAGATCTCTAGGGCATCTGAGATCTCTGAGATTCTCAACTGGGGGACAGTTTTGCCCTCCAAGCGGCTTTTGGTAATGGTTTGGAGATATTTTTGGTTGTCACAATGGGTTGGGGCAGTTGAGTGCTACTGTTATCTAGTGGGTAGACACCAGGGATGCAGGTAAACACCCTACAATGCACATCTACTCACGACAAAGAATTATCTGACCCAAAATTTTAGCAGTGTCAAGGTTGAGAAACCCTGCTCTAGGGCTACAAGTCCTGTTGATAGTCACCCTAGATTGCATTAATTAGTTTAAATGTACTTTTTATTATTCTTTGATGTATTATAGTCTTCTACACTTCTCTAAGCCAGTATGAAACATAAGGTCCAGCATATATTATTATTCAAATGTTTCTTGCTTGAATAAATACATGATTGTCAGTGAACATCTGTTGAATGAACAAAGGGGTTACATTTAACAGCTAATTGCAGTGTTTATGCTACTTAAACATGGTGGCTTTTTAGGTGTTCTTGTCTCAGTTTTTGAGAGCTTTGCTCCTTCTTCACTGGGATTTAGACATGTAGTTATAAGGAGTTAAATTCTACAGAGGTGTGCAAAGATGATAAGCTACAGGCAGCAGGGCGGTAATTAATATTTCTCTGCTTGGATACTGAGATTTCCACACCTGCTGGATAACAGTGAATTCATAAGGGATTATATACTTAATGGTAACATTTATATATAACAAACATTTATTTAAAAAACTCATATGAATTAACTAATCTCTAGAACGTTCCTATATGGGATCCTCTATCAGTCTTTGTATTTATAAGCATTTATTGAACACCTTTTGTATACCAAGAACCAGTTATTTCCCAAAACTTTGGTGAGACCAACAGACTTTATATCATTAGCTAGTGAGTTTTTCTAAAAGTGTTGGCTTACTTATAACCAGTGAGTTGTATCTCTTTTGTGGCATTGGCCAGATTTTATAAACTGTAGCTTCTTGTTTATTTATAATGGACTTAGATCCTTGGATGAGATGTATTACATATGTGTGAAGGATTAGAGGGCACTTTTTAATAACAACAGGAATAATACTGCTTTGTGCTGCTAAACTGTAGATCTTTTCTTCTAAAGATTTAAAGCCCATTATAGACATAATTTGATTGTTGCTGTATTGCAACAGTGTTTTTCCTTCTCTCCTCATCCAGGCAGATTTTTTTCTTGATTAAAGATGGCATGAATACTTTCTCATGTTATGACCTATTTGATAAACAGCTCAGGATGTTACAAAAGCAAAGCAGGAGATGTCTTAAATAATTAGTGGCAGAAAGCTTGCTGCTGCTCGGGTGTTAATCTTGCCAGAAAGCTCAGATATTTGTGGGTTGCACTGTAAATTTCTGTACAGATGTGTGTGAGGTTGAGTTTCAGCCATACGCCTGTAACAGCATCAGGAAACATTTTGTCATGCTACTTCCTTGGGTGATCTTCTATGACCAAAAGAAAAAAAAAGTCATATTTCTGTCTTGTGAAATTGAGCTCGAATTCTGGGTAGTTTAGTAGTAATCAGTATATGCCTGAATCACAGCTGCGCGGGATGGTTTGTATTATATACCAATGGCAACTACTGCTTTAAATATGGAAATTAAATACTTTAGGTTCAGGCTGATTCCAATCTGCGGGTAGGAAACGTCTGATCTATCCCAAGATAAGTTTAAAAGTGTGTGGAGTTTTCTCTGGGGCTACAAATCCTGTTCACATTCATATGTATTTCTTTTGAGACAGTCCCTTGAGGTCTCTTGGCAGCCACCTTCTTGAACGTGGGAAGAGATTGGGATCCCTAGGAATGCAAAAAAGGAGAAATCAAAATGTCCTCAGAAAATTCCAGGGTGTGGTTGGTCCAGAGACCCAATCCAACAGTTCCAAGACTCAAAAGATGAGTATCAAACTATACTTGGCTTCCCTCTCTTCAGGCATGAGACATCCACATTTACCCAGAATCAGTTCCTAATTTGGAAGCTTCTTGTGTTCCCAGCATTCTCAGATCTTGTACCAAATTTTTTGTAAACTCTCCTAATAATGAGTAGTTATGTATAGCATTATAGTTGTGGTCTTGATGCTTCTATTATCAGTTGATCATTCTGGCTCTGTTTCTTTGTGGCTCTGTGGCCATGAAACAACACTTTAATAGGTACAAGATGACTGGTGAAACTCACCTAGTAAGCTCTGGGCTTTCCTTAATGTGTATAATTAGTGTATATTATAGCTCACTTAAAAATGTGTTAACGGGTGAAATTAACATGATACCTCAGAAGTTGTTGATTATTTATTTATTTTTTTGAGACAGGGTCTCACTCTGTCATCCAGGCTGCAGTGCAGTGGTGTGATCATGGCTCACTGCAGCCTTGACCTCCCCAGGCTCAGGTGATCCTCCCAGCCTCTTGAGTAGCTGGTTCCACAGGCATGCGCCACCACATGTGGCTAATTTTTGTATTTTTTGTAGAGACAGGGTCTCATCATGTTGCCCAGGAGGGTCTTGAACTCCTGGGCTCAAGCAATCCACCTGCCTTGGCCTCCTAAGGTGCTGGGATTACAAACATGAGCCATTGTGCCTGGAAAGAAGTTATCTATTATTATCTTGCTAGACAATCTGTCTGTGACCTCCTAAATACCTAACAGAATATGCTGAGCCCTGCCCTTACCCCTCCATCTATTTTGGAGGTCACCTGTAATGTTGGTGGATGCTTTCAGTCACACCAACAGCTTCCCACCTCAGGCATTTGTGTCCCTCTGTCTGAGGGCTTTCATTGGTCTGAGGGCTCTCTCAGCCTGGCTCGGGGCAGGTCACAAGTGCTGGGGAATCAGCGCTTTCCCAATTGACCCTCAACTATTGAGGGATGAGAGTTGGTGGGTGTGTACCAGGCTTCCTCATCCCTGGGTCAGTTCTGTATTCTACATAGTATCCGAGAGGGTCCCAGTGGGATTGAGCCCCTATGCCCACAGGGATGTGCTGCTCACCAACATTCCCTTTCCTTATTCCTTCTCTGACCTGTTCCACTGCTCCCTTGTGCTTCCTGTTTTCACCTCCCAATTCTTGTCTCAGGATCTGTTGCTGGGGTAACTCAAACCAAGGCAACATCTCCTATGATAGCCCACCAGGCCGCCTCCCCCGCTTTGCATCTTGCATTCAGTGAATTACTAAGCGCTTTGGCTCTGCTTCCTAAATAACCCTCCAATTATCTTCCTCTCTATTTCTAGAGCTTAGTTCATATCTTTACTATCTCCCTTAGTTGATTACAATGGCATTCCAATGGGTCTCTGCATTTCAGCCTGTTTTCCCATGATGGGTCTTCCATGATGCTGCTGGAGATTCCTTTCCAAAAGGCAAACCATATCCTGTTACTTCCCAGCTTCAAACCTTTCATGGCTCAGGTCTTTCATCATCTGGCCCTTTTCTACCCATCCTGTGCCTTTCCTGAGCACCGCACTGCTGTGTGCCTTCCAAGACTGTAGCATGTGGGGTTTAGATGCTGCTTTTGCCCACCCGTGAACTTCAGCACAATTCTTTTTTCTTTTCTTTTTTCTTTTCTTTTCTTCTTTCCTTCTTTCTTTCTTTCTTTCTCTTTCTTTCTTTTTCTTTCTTTCTCTCTTTCTTGCTTTCTCTTTCTTTCTGTCTTCTTTTCCTTTCTTTCTTTTTCTTTCTTTCTCAACTGTACAGTACATTGTTATTAACTATAGTTACCATGTTGTATAGTAGATCTCTTGAATTTATTCGAACTGAATTTATTCTGTCTAACTGAAATTTTGTATCCTTTGGCATCTCCTCCATTGCCCCTACTTCCTAGGCCCCAGTAAGCATCCTTCTACTCTCTGATTCCAAGAGTTTGACACTTTTAGATTTCACATATTAGGGGGATGATGCGATATTTGGCTTTCTGTGCTTACCTTAATTCACTTAATGTCCTCCAGGTTCATCTATATTGTTGTAAATGACAGGATTTCCTTCTTTTTTAAGGCAGAATACTAGTCCATTGTGTATATATACCACATTTTTCTTTGTTCATCCATCAATGGACACAGGTTAACTCCATATTTAGGCTATTGTCAAAAGAGCTGCAGTAAACATGGGAGTGCAGATATCTCTTCAACATGCTGATTTCATTTCCTTTGGATATATACCCAGAATTGGGATTGCTGGATTGCATGGTAGTTCTATTTTTATTTTTTGAGGAATCTCTATACTACTTTCCATAATGGCTACACTAATCTACATTTCTACCAGCAGTGTACAAGGGTTCCCTTTTCTCTGCATTCTTGCCAACACTTGTTATCTTTTGTCTTTTTGATAATAGCCATTCTAACAGGTGACATCCCGTTGTGGTTTTGATGTGCATTTCCACGATAATTAGTGAAGTTTAACATTTTTTCATATAGCTGTTGGCCATTTAGAAGTCTTCCTTTGAGAAGTGTCTACTCAGGTTCTTTGTCCATTTTAAAATTGGGTGGTTTTCTTGCTACTGAGTTTTTGAGCAGCATAATTTTAGAGACGACATAAACTTCACCTTATATCTGGAACTATTTTTTGCTGACCATACCCTAGCAGTGGCTTCCTCAGTCCCACTGCCCCTAGCCATGTGCTCATATTCTTATTGGCCCTGTACATATCTCCATGTATGGCTTTATTCTTATGTATCAGTGTGTGAATATGTAGGCCTTTATCGCTCAACTCTGAGTTCCTTGAGAGCAGTAACCACATGTGATTCCCAGCTCCTGGCTCAGTACCAGGCCTGAAATCAATACTTGATCCTTGAAGAACAGTTGGACATTGCATTGTGCTTCAGAAGTTTGCTCTGGAAAATATGGTAGCACTAAGGGTTGGGAGGAGGCTCTCTATTCTGCTAACACATAGATTGGCTTAATGAAGAGAGACAAATTAATGATGATGGTTGCATGACCCAGAGGTTTAGTGGCAGAAAGTGATTAAAATCCTCACTAAATATTTTATATCTTACTCCAGTGCTTACTTGTTAGACCTACCTATTCTGTCATGTTTAATTTCTTTTGCTTATACTTCTAAGCCCTTGCTGAACAGGTAGGAGGGAATAGAGGTAAATTTGCAGAAAACTCCAGTTCTCTGGGGGTATAGTTTGCTTCCGCACCAGATTTGTTTTGTTAAGACCCAGAGAGTCACTGAGGTCAAGTGAAATAAAAATTATAAAATAAAAAATGTTCAGTCCTTTACAATCTTGGTTTCAATTTCTATTGGCTAGTTGCACCTCTATGGGAAACAACATATGGACTAGCTAAAATGCCCAGCTCTGTTCCTTCCAAGGGAGGACTTGTGGGGAGGACTCTGTTTTCTTAGTGCTATGACTTGGTTATGGGCTTTGGCTCCTTTCCCTATGGAAAGTTCTTTATTCTGGAAACCAGATTCCAATCTCCTGTCCCAGGGAAGGGGTGGGGCAGGCATTCATCATAGTTTATACATGGTCTACAATGGGGAGTCAATTCTAGCTCTGTGATGCTACTCTCCATAACTTCAGTATCATCCCATATAATTTCCTAGTGTCAGGGCGATCTGGTGTAACAGAGAAAGTGTGGCACTTTGTGGAGGTCCCCATGGAAACTCCATGGATGTGTATAAGGGCTAAGGGGCAGAGTCACCATGCAGGGTTGAGATCAACTGTGTTCATCAGAGCTACCTCCTAGCTGCATTGAAACATAGTCACACTTGTGGTGGTGGCTGGGACATGTCTCCTGGCAGGATGGGAAGTGAGTTGTTCCCAGCCTTACAAGGGGCTGGGAAATTCTTTTTAATTGAGTAGAGCCCTGAGGACTTTGTGATGAGATATAGGCGTACCCTGCAATACAAATAAAGCCACAGGTGTGGGTCTACCCCGAGGAATGGAGACAGGAGACACTGGCCAAGATGAGGCAGAGAGGAGGCAGGGAAGCCACTGCCCATATGTAATGTGCAGGGGTCCAGTTCCCACACACACTGAGAGGCCTTGTTTCCTGCCTGAGTTCCCAGCAAAGCAGCCCTCTCTGACCCGGCCTGGGGTTTCGCCCTCTTGGTATTGGTTTCCTCACTCTTTCCATGGGGAGCCCGTGTACTGTGTCCTCTCATGTTCTTTCTCACCTTGCTCAGGCCCATCCGAGCTTGGAAAGTGGTGAGTTGCAACCTCTGCATTCCATCTCTGCTCTCAAATGAGGTCTATTTATTAAAAACAAAAGGCAGAAATAAAATTATTCCATCAACGATTACAACACTCCTGATTATTTTGCTTCATTTTGAGACATATTGAAGGATCAGATAATTCCATTTTGACAAAAATAATTGTAATAGCTTATATTTAAAAAATATTTTTTATGTGGCTCAGTCCTATGTGAAGCACTTTGTTTTTATCATTTTGTTTAATCCTCGTGACACTTCTCTAAGGAAGGTATTAGCATTAATTCCATTTTATAGACAAGGAAGCATAGGAACAGAGAAAGTCAACAAATTGCCCAAGGTCACACTGTCAGTGGAAAAGCTGGGCTGGCAGCTCCCCAGAAGTGTTAAAAATACTTCCTATCATTCACTCCTTGCTTAAATGAACATAAAGAATGTAGATGCAAAAGAAAAAGAAAAAACCCCGAATCAAATATAAAAGAGAGACTCAAAATTAAAAACAATAACGTGGATACAGACATTTTGTAGCATCGGGAGACACACAGTGATGCAGCAGCACTGCTGAGAGGGCACGCTTTCCTTCTTGCAAAGGACAGTGGACAAAGGTGTCCATATTTATTTATTTATTTTAAAGAGACAGGGTCTCACCTTGTTGCCAAGGCTGGGGCACAGTTGCAAGATCAGAGCTCACTGCAGCCTCGAACTCCTGGGATCAAGAAATCCTCCCACTTCAGCCTCCTGAGCAGATAGGATATCAGGTTGGCACCATCACACTCAGCTAATTTTTTTTTTTTTAAATTATACTTTAAGTTTCAGGATATATGTGCAGAACGTGCAGGTTTGTTACATAGGTATACATGTGCCATGGTGGTTTGCTGTACCCATCAACCTGTCATCTACATTAGGTATTTGTCCTAATGCTCTCCCTCCCCTAGTCCACCATCTCCCCAAACTGGCCCCGGTGTGTGATGTTCCCCTCCCTGTGTCCATGTGTTCTCATTGTTCAACTCCCACTTATGTGTGAGAACATGTGGTGTTTGGTTTTCTGTTCCTGTGTTTGCTGAGTATGATGGTTTCCAGCTTCATCCATGTCCCTGCAAAGGACATGAACTCATCCTTTTTTATGGCTGCATAGTATTCCACGGTGTATATATGCCATATTTTCTTTATCCAGTATATCATTGAGGGGCATTTGGGTTGGTTCCAAATCTTTGCTATTGTGAACAGTGCTGCAGTAAACATACGTGTGCATGTGTCTTTATAGTAGAATGATTTATAATCCTTTGGGTATATACCCAGTAATGGGATTGCCAGGTCAAATGGTATTTCTGGATCTAGATCCTTGAGGAATTGGCACATTGTCTTCCACAATGGTTGAACTAACTTACACCCCCATCAACAGTGTAAAAGCATTCTTATGTCTCTACATCCTCTCCAGCATCTGTTGTTTCCTGACTTTTTAGTTGTTTTTAGTTTAACTTTAGAGACAGGGTCTTGCTATGTTGCCCGGGCTGGTCTTGAGCTCCTGACCTCAAGCAATCCTCCTGCCTTGGCCTCCAAAAGTGCTGGGATTACAGGCATGAGCCACTGTGCACAACCTGCTTCTTTAGACTTTACTGCCCGTGAAGGATGCAGAGCCTGTGGTTTTCCCTGTAGGAAGCATCTGCATTTTAACAGAGGCAAATGCTTTAATCTAGCGGTGGGAGTTCTGGTCGATGACCTGCTGGAGAAATCCATGTCAGCTGTCAGCTCCTGGAGGCCATAGCTTCTTTGCAGTTGTTGGGTACTGTGCTTAGAGTAGAACTGTGAGCAATCAGGGGCTATTCAGTGATTAAATGTATTTGGGTCAGAGAGGTTTTCTGTCTGGCAGTCTATCAACTCCATTGCATGGACACTTGCTTCCCCTGCTTGTTTCAAACAGATACCTCCTTTCCTGTTGCCACACCTGCCCTGTCACCAGCCCTGCCAGCCTACTTCTTTAATTACTCTCCAAGCGGGACCCCCCTCCACGTCTCGTGTCTCTACCAGAGCCTTCATCACCTTTCATAGAGACCCTAGCTAGTCCTCCCACCTCCAAGCTAGCCCAAAGGTTTTCAAACTCTAGCATGATTCGGAGTCACCCGGAGGATTTGTTAATACAGATTGCTGGGCCACGCCCCCAGAGTTTCTGACTTATTAGGTCCCAGGTGGGACAAGAATTTGCATTTCCAGCAAACTTCCAAGTGATGCTGATGCTGCTGTTCCAGGGCCCACACACTAAAGATCGCTGGTGTAGCCTAATGATCTTCCTAAAACACAAATCTAACCTTGACATTCTCCTCCTAAAACCTGCCAATAGCTTATCTGAGTCTTTCGGATGAAGTCTGGACTCCTCAGGGCCCCACTCAAGGACCTTCACAGTCGGCTCCCTGTGTACAGCCCCAGCTCCATCACTGAGGTCTTTGCTTGGCCCACAGTGCCTGCAGTTCTCCCAGTGGACCAGGCTTTGCCTCACCTCTGGGAGTCCTGCCTGCTGCATTCTTCTCTCCTTTCCTTGCGGGCTGTCTTTCCCAGGCTCTTGTGCAGCTGGTTTCAAGCTGGGTTGAACCAATGGAAGGTACTGGTAGGATATGGGAAGGCAGTAGGAGGGAGAAAGCAGGTATAATTATTTCTTCTCTCTGCTTTGAGTAGCATCTGTAGTAGTGGCTGTGTTTCCTGTATAGCTTCAGCTTCCATCACACAGACCTGCTATGTTTTCAGGTTCCACAAGATCACCCCAGCCATGGGCACTGGAAACACCACCTCCTCTCGAGGTCCCTGCTGTCCTAGGGGTAGAAGTAGCTTTCTGCTGTTCTCAGTGCCTGGGTGTTCCTCTGGCCCTGTTTGGCTTCTTAACTCATTTGTAATCAATATCATACACACAATTCGTCTCTGGGGTAAACACATAAAGGTTAAACTGCTGATGTCCAATAGAACTCTCCATCATGATGGCCATTTTCTGTATCTGAGGTGTCCAAAACAGTACCCACTGGCTACATGTGACCATTGAGCACTTGAAATGTGGCTAGTGCCGCTGAGAACCTGAATTTTAACTTTCATTTAAATCAAATTAAATTTAAATAGCCACATGGGGCTAGTGCCTACTATATAGGATAGTGCAGGCTTAGTCTCTGCCTAATATACAGCCTCTGAAATTTAGGAATAGATTCTGAAATTGGCATCAAAATGATAGAGAGGTATTCTGTGCTCTGTGCCGTCCAGCACAGTCTTGCTATCTGCATATAATTAATGACTTTCAAAACTTTTAAATCATTTTATAAAATATAGATCTACAAGGGCTGAGATTACAGAAAGGAAGAAAGATTAACAAGAATTATTGTTAGGTAAATTAAAGCAAGTTATAGAACAATACGTATCGTACCATTTGATTTGGTGAAAATGAAACTAAGTAAAACTGTGAGTCCTCATGTGAAAATGTCTTAAGGGATACACAAAACACTGTTAATGGTGGGAATTAGAAGAGGAGGGAGGAGGAAAAGAACTATTTTTCACTTAATACATTTTATATTTCTCTGTGTTGTCTGGACACACACACACACACACACACATAAACACAAACACACACGTGGAGGTATATTTTTCCATAAGCACATATCACTTCTACTGTTGTATATCTTTCTCTATCAATTCTTTAAAACCTATATGTCTTTATATTTAAAGTGGGCTTCTTGTAGCAACATATAATTGGGTCTTGTTTTTTTATCTTCTCTGACCATCACTGTCTTTCAATTATTGCATTTAGACCATTGATGTTCAAAGTGATTATTGATATAGTTAGATTAGATTCACATCTACTACATTCGTTACTGTTTTCTATCTGTTGCCCTTGTTCTTTGTTCCTATTTTTGTTTTCCACTCTTTTTCTTCCTTTTGTGGTTTTATTGAGCGTTTTATATGATTCTATTTTCTCTCCTTTCTTAGCACATCAGTTATACTGCTTTTTTTCTTTTCTTTTCTTTTCTTTTTTTTTCTTTTGACGGAGTCTCGCTCTGTCACCCAGGCTGGAGTGCAGTGGTGAGATCTCGGCTCACTGCAACCTCTGCCTTCCAGGTTCAAGCGATTCTCCTGCTTTAGCCTCCAGAGTAGCTGGGATTACAGGTGCGTGCCACCACGCTCGGCTAATGTTTTGTATTTTTAGTAAAGATGAGGTTTCACCATGTGAGCCAGGATGGTCTCAATCTCCTGATCTCGTGATCCACCCGCCTCGGCCTGCCAGAGTGTTGGGAATACAGGCATGAGCCAATGAGCCTGGTCCTATACTGGTTGTTTAAAAAAAACATTTTTTAGTGGTTGACCTAGAGTTTGTAATACACATTTACAGCTAATCCAAGGCCCCTTTCAAATGACACCATGCCACTTCACAGGTAGTGTGAGTACCTTATAAGAACAAAATATCCTCAATCCATCCCTCTAGTCCCTTGTATCACTGCCATCATTCATTTCAGTTACACCTAAGCATATATAAATATACAGAGTCACCCCTTGAACAAACAGGTTTGAACTGTTTTCTTCTGCCTCTGTAACCCCTGAGACAGCAGAGCCACCCACTCTTCTTCCTCCTCTTCCTCAGCCTATTCAAAGTGAAGATGATGCAGGTGAAGACCTTTCTAATGATCCACTTCTACTTAATGAATAGTAAATACATTTTCTCTTACTTATGATTTTCTTAATATTTTTTTCTAGCTTACTTTATTGTAAGAATATAGTATATAATATATATAACATACAAAATATGTGTTGACTGTTTATGCTATTGGTATGGCTTCTAGTCAATAGTAGGCTATTAGTAGTTAAGCTTTTTGAAAGTCAAAAGTTATACATGGAGGCTGGGCACAGTGGCTCATGCCTGTAATCCCAGCACTTTGGGAGGCAGAGGCAGGTGGATCACTTGAGGTCAGGAGTTCGAGACAAGCCTGGCCAACATAGTGAAACTCTGTTTCTACTAAAAATACAAAAATTAGCTGGGTGTGGTGGCAGGTGCCTGTAATCCCAGCTACTTGGGAGGCTGAGGCAGGAGAATCGCTTGAACCTCGGAGGCAGAGGTTGCAGTGAGCCAAGATCATGCCACTGCACTCCAGCCTGGGTGATAGAGTGGGAGTCCATCTCCAAAAATAAAAAAAGTCATACATGGATTTCCAATTGCATAGAGGTGAGCACTCCTAATCCCCAAATTGTTTAAGGGTCAACTGTATGTGTGTATATACACATATACCCATACACATATACATTCATAAAATACTATATATTGCTATTATCTTTACCAAGTATTATCTGTTAGATCAATTAAAATTAAGAAAAATTTTTCTTTTACCTTTACTTATTCCTTCTCCAATGCTCCTCTTTATGTAGTTCTGTGTTTTTGG
This sequence comes from Homo sapiens, assembly GCF_000001405.40. Taxonomy (NCBI): domain Eukaryota; kingdom Metazoa; phylum Chordata; class Mammalia; order Primates; family Hominidae; genus Homo; species Homo sapiens. Next base: position 6,248,587 of record NC_000020.11, read on the forward strand.
CCTATATTGTTTTCCTTCTCTCAAGAGAATTTCTTTTAGTATTTCCTGAAAGGCAGGTCGACTGGCAACAAATTCCTTTAATTTTTGTTTGTCTGAGAAAATCTTTTATTTCTCCTTTGCTTTTGAAGTATACCTTTACAGGGTACAGAATTCTAGGTTGGAAATATTTTTCTCTCAACACTTTAAATATTTCACTTTACTCATCTTGCTTGCATGGTTTCTGAAGAGAAGCTGGAAATTGTTATTTGTGCTCCTCTGTAGGTAAGGTTTCTTTTCCCTCTGGCTTCTTTCAGCATATTTTTAAAAAATCTTCAATTTTCTCTACTTGAATATAGTATGCCTAGATGTAGTTTTTATTGTTTACATATTTATTTATTTATTTGGTATTTATCTTGCTTGGTGTTCTGAGCTGCCCCTCTGGGTTTTGGTATCTGACATTAATTTATGGAATTACATACTGATATGGTTTGGATCCGTGTCTCCACCCAAATCTCATGTCAAATCGTAATCCCCAATGTTGGAGGTGGGGCCTGGTGGGAGGTGATTGGGTCATGAGGGTGTTTTTCATGAATGGTTTACTGTCATCCCTTTGGTGCTGTCCTCACAATAGTGAGTGAGTTCTTGCAAGACCTGCTTGTTTAAAAGTGTGTAGCATTCCCCTGCCTCTTGCTCCTGCCCCCATCATGCCGATGCCTTGCTCCCCCCTTTGCCTTCCACCATGATTGTAAGCTTCCTGAGGTCTCCCCAGAAGCAGAAGCTGCTATGCTTCCCATATAGCCTATGGAACCATAAGCCAATTCAAGCTCTTTTCTTTATAAATTACCCTGTCTGAGGTATTTCCTTATAGCAGTGTGAGAATGGATTAATACATATACCTTTGACTTTTGTCATTTAGATTCCACTGAACAGGATTTAGTCATTTTCTTGGTGCTGTTTTAATCAGACATGGTAAGACACCCAGCCATAGAATGACTGTTATAAAAGAAGAGGTTTTTATAGTCACAGATCTCTAGTAACAGGAGGCACAGCACGTCCTGCAGGGCCATATGGGAAGCACCAGGGCTGATCGGGGAGCAAAGGAAGCAGGAAGAGGATATCTTGGACAAGAGCCTTTATTGTGGTTTCTGTGGGAAGGAACAGGCAAGATAGGTAAGCAGGTTTAGGATTGGTGGGTTTGAATAGTTTCAGTGAGCTCTGGGGCATATGGACTGTCCCTAGTTACCTGGTCCCCAGCCCTGGGGTGATGAGGGCAGGGAAGCAGTGGCTCACCTTTGAGAGTCCCATTAAGAGGTGGTTGGAGTGGGGGCTCTGGATTGTTTGATTTGCATATGGAAAACGTGCTCCTAGGCAAATTATTTGCCATCTTTAGGAACTGATTAGCCCTGGGAGGAGCAGTTTTTCCAGGGTTAGCAAGACCTCAGATCTCTAATAATCAGAAATATAGAAAATAAAAAGGCATGATTAATACATATGATGAAGCCTTCAGGAAGGCAGGTAAGACACTGTTTCTGTTAGCTGAAATTTCTATGATCTTTGAGTTCTGCTCTCTGCTTCTCAGGATGTCAGGGATCCCTCCTTTTGCTCTGTGTGGGTTTGCATCTGGCCTGTTTTCTTCTTTCTCTTTTAAATTTGTTAGACTTATAATAGATGTCAACTAAGAGTAAATAGGCGCTAACTGAGGGCCTCAGGTGTTTGCTCCTCTGTTAATGCTCATTATGGCATTTCTGGTGGAATATCAATTTTTTTAAAAGTGATCACTCTTTACCACTGTAAGGGTAGATTATATCTGAGGTCATGGAATCTCATTAGAAGCCAAGGGACCACTCAGTGCAGGAGTTCATGCAGTGTAGCTGTCCCAGCAACCCTAAGCTACTGTTGCCTTTCTCTACACCAAGCTTAAAACCTGCCATGGGCCAAGTGCTTTGCTTTCAGCACCCAGTTTTACAGGCTGCATTGCTGCTCAGGGAAAACTTACTGCAAACAAACTAAGCCCAAAATAGGAAACGCTTAAGATATTTAAGGCCTTCCTTATTCTTGAGCCAACCTTAGCAGCAACAAGGCCACATCCCCATCTCTGGGGTCCCCAGCGTCTTAGAACAATATGTCCACCTCTAGATTGTAAGGATCCTGGAAAGCTCATGTATTGTGTTTCTTTCTTTCTTTGTCTTAGCTGTATACTGTATTTTTGAGGCCATGGCTTCTGGATAAATATGGTCACTATTTTATGGAGCACCTATTTTCACACAGTTTAGTGCAAAAAATGGCGCCAAACAAGCCAATGAACATAGCAGCATGATTCTGGTTGCTGTCTAACTTGGGCAAGTTACTCAATCTTCTCGTGCCTGTTTCTTCAATTATAAAGTTGGAAAAATAATGGGACTTATCTCCTAGGGTAGCTATGAAGGTTAAATAACTGAGTCTTTACAGAGTCAATACATTGATAAGTTGAGGCAAATATGTGATATTTAAAGCTATAAAGGAATTGTAAAACAAGGAGTGAATTTAGTATAGCCTATATAAAATCTCATGAAATTTTGAGAATTTTTTCCCTGGAAAAAACAAAACAAAACAAAACACCCCTAAGAGGATGCTTTCCTCTGTTCCCTAGAGGTTCATGTCAGCATTTCATGTTGGATGTATTTCATGGAGTGTGTATTTGATTCTACTGTTTGCTGATTCTGCTGTCCCCTTGCTGTTCTAGAGGAAGCCTCAAACTTTAACAATCTATTCAATGTAGGTAGGTTAACGCAGATAGCTGTCAATCCCATACTGAGATCGGGTACCTGAGAGCAATATCCCATGGACTAAGGGCCCCAAACATGAGGGAGCATTGGGATGGACACCGATTCTATGTCACCTTCCCTGCTCTTCTCTCCTGACACCTGGGTGTCTTCAAGCTGTCTACTGACTTAGGCCTAACCTTCTTACCATAACCTGGGCCTGAAGACTTATTATCCCTGACTTTTCCCCACAGTGGAATGGGTTTATTGCTTTCTAATTGGACAATGAGAAAGGGGAATTCAATATATAGAATTTCTACAGCTAATTATAAACATTTCTAATGGGATATACAAGAAGTCTCTTATAAGCCTTGTTCATCATTACCAAACCCTAGAGACAATCCGAATACCTATCAACAGGGGAATAGATAAAGAAATTATGCTGTATCCATCCAGTGGAATACTACTTAGCAATGGAAAGGAGCAAACCAACATACACAGCAGCATGGATGGGAATAAAAAGCATATTGTTGAGCAAAATGAGCCAGACAGAAAAGAATATATACTGTGGGATTCCATTTATATGAAAATTTGTTATAGTGACAGAAATCAGAACAGAAGTTGTCTCTTGGGGGATGATTCAAAGGAAAGGTGAAGGAAAAGTGCTGTCTTAATGTGAATGATGTTTACATGAGTTAAATGGTTACTTCATTGAACTGTAGTCTAAAGGTTTGTGCATGCTACTGTGTGTAAATCGTACCTCAATAAGTACTGTTAGCATGCTAAAAACATTTCTGATGGGAAAAGTTGCTCCCCTTTCTCCGTATCCTCGTCAACATCTGTTGTTTTCTGACTTTTTATTAATAGCCATTCTGGGCAACAATAGAAACTGAGGACTTCTGGAGAGGGGAAGGAGGGAGGCAGGCAAGAGTTGAAAGGCTAGCTGTTGGGTATAGATGCTCAGTACCTAGGTGACAGGATCTTTTATACCCCGAACCTCAGCACTATGCAATATACCCAGGTAGCAAACCTATACACGCACTTACTGAATCTAAAACAACAGTTGAAAAAAAGAAAGCCCTCTCCAACCAACCAACCAAACAACCAACCAAATATATAAATAAATACCTCAAATGAATCCTAATTTCCATGTTTTAAATTTGTTTTGACCACTTGTGTTTGGTCCAAGCAAGTCAAGGCAAATAGGCACGGAGCTTCTTGCCAAGATTATATTCTAAATAAGATAATAGTCTTAAAGAAAGACACACTGTAAAACTCATGCAATCCTCAAAAAGCTGTATGGTATAATAAAAATGAGATAACCACCAGAAAATCACTATCAGCTATTAACAGGACAATTGTAAGTCTCTTGTGTCAAAGAAAGTTTCATAGAGAAGCGATTTTAGGACTCTTTTGCCTCTAGCTATAAAAAGTGCTTGGCAAATCATAGGGAATAAATGCTTTTCCACCCTAAAATTTTTAACTTGCAGCAATGCCTGCAATCTCCCCATTAGAGAATGATAGTTTTGGCATTTAAAGGTCTCTCAGTTTTCAAGATCCCTTGGCACCAAGCTCTCAACACAGACCCATTATGGTGTGAAGCTTTAGTGAGGGGGTGACTGGTCTGGAATGAAACGCTGAACAGGCTTTTGACAGATAGCAGGGATCTCAGATGCTAGAAGATACAGAAAAGGGAAGAAGGTCATTAAAGATAAACTTCACTCTGTGCTCAATTTTCCCAGGGCTGATCCTTCTAATGCACATTACCTCATTTATTCTTACCTTTGGTTTATCTTGAATGTCTTCTTGGGGACCTATTTAGGGCTAGGGCAAAGACAGTCAAGCACTTTTGTGGAACCAAATGTATATAACTGACTTTTTTCAGAGATCAAATTTCAGTGCTGAAATCTTGGGAAATCTATGTAAAATCTATAGCCAATCATGAATAGCCTTAAGGCTAAGAGCTCTTTCTTGATTAGCATCACGCTGGACAAATATTAAATGTTTTATAAAAGCATTTTTCTGAAAATAGCTGAAGAGCATTTCTAATGGTAAAGACAATTCCTTAGTGCATCATTTATCCAGCCATTTTCCAGTTTGAAGAATTGAGTGAGAGTCATTAAGACTGAATCAATTTCTATCTGTACTCGCATTTCTAATTTGGCAAAAGACTCTGTGATGAAAAACAGATTTCAAAATGACTACATTAAATGAAACAAATGAGTTGTTTATTTTATATTCTTTTATGATATCATAAATAAATTATTCATCCAGAAGCTGAAAGACTTATGTTACTTAATGCTTGGAATAATCAAGAGCAAAGTGGGTTCAATTACTAAAAATGAGGAGGCAGGGAGAAGCCACCAGAAAAAAGACTTAATGATGAAGTGCTATGCTGTCATAATTAAAATATGTAGACCCTTCTAGGTCATGACATTTTAAGTTAATCTAAACTTGTAAGCGTGAAGAAATAAGTATCAAGTAATTCTATATTGCACTGACCAGAAAGAAAAGCATAGTTAATAATTTATTGTATATTTCAAAATAGTTAGATGAAAAAATGTGAAATGTTCCCAACACAAGAAATGATAAATATCTGAGATGATGGGTATCTTAAATACCCTGATTTGATTATTACACATTGCATGCATGTGTCAAAATATCACATGTACCCTGAAATATGTAAAGTTGTGATGAATCAATAATAAAAAGATCCATTAAAATAGCATCTGACTAGAGTGAGATGGTATCTCACTGTGGTTTTAATTTGTATTTCCCTGATGATTAGTGGTGTTGAGCATTTTTTCATATGTTCATTGGCTGCTTGTATGTCTTCTTTTGAAAAATGTCTGTTCGACCTTTTAAAAAGACTTAATTTGAGGGAGTACCTGTTCATTTGACACTTTTCCTGTTTCTAACTTGAGGAAATCTAGAGTAGTATTTGACAAAAACTATGTTTTCAATTTACCTTTCATATCTGTCCCACTCCATTTTGCTTCGTGAACTCTTCATTTAACAATAAATTGTCTAAGGAAAAAAAAAAACAGAAAAATGTCTGTTCATGTTCTTTGCCCACTTTTAAACTTCTTTTCCCCCCCTTTCTGAGCTGTTTGAGTTCCTTGTAGCTTCTGGATATTAACCCTTTGATGCATAGTTTGCAAATATTTTTTCCCATTCTATAGGTTGTCTGTTTATTCTGTTGACACTGTTGGTGGGAATGTAAATTAGTACAACCTATACGGAAAACAGTGTGAGAATTCTCAGAGAATTACTGTTTGATCCAGCAGTCCTACTATGGAGTGCATACCCAAAGGTAAAGAAATAATTATATCAAAAAGATACTGCACTCATATGTTTATCAGCATTATTCACAACAGCAAAGATGTGGAATCAACCTAAGTGTCCACCAAGGGAGGACTGAATAAAGAAAATGTGGTATATACATACCGTGGAACACTACTCAGCCATAAAAATAATGAAATCATGTATTTTACAGCAACATGGATGGAACTGGAAACCACTATCCTAAGTGAAATAACTCAGAAACAGAAAGTCAAATACCACATTTTCTCACCTATAAATGACAGCTAAACAATGAGTACACATGAACATCCAGAGTGGAGTAATAGACATTGGAGGCTCCAACACGTGGAAGGGTGGGAGGGGGATGAGGGTTGATAAATTACCTACTGGGTACAGTGTTCACTCTTTGGGTGATGGTACACTAAAAGCCCAGACTTCATCATGATACGGTATAGGCAGGTAAGAAATCTACACTTGTGCCCCCTAAATATATAAAAGTTAAAAAAAAAAGTTATGAGGGAGATGAAAAAGACCATTTGAAAATACTTTATCAAATGGGAAGACTTTAATAGTGAGAACTCCATATAGGGTGTCTTGCTGTACTGTTAACTAGGATTTTTTTTCGGGGGCTGATTATCTAAGGACCTTTGGTTCCATTCATTTCCTTGTTTGGCTGCTGGTCCGCTGATGTCACTGCTTATTGGCACCTTAAGCAGAACATTGGAGGAGAAATCCAAAGGGTTATAATTTGCAACTGGAAGGCATTGTAGCATTCAGAAAAGGACAGTGTGAAAAGTGGGCTTCCTAGAAGCAGACCTGGGATGGGGATTCTTGAGCAAGTGAGTTATTGATGGAGAGCTCTCAGATGAACCTGGGAGGGAGGGAGGGAGGGAGGGAAAGAGGGAGGACAGGGCCCAGGAAGAAGCTGGGCAAACATGTAGGCTTGGGAGGAGTCCAGCCTCAGCCTGATGCCACAGGGAGCTCTGGAGAGTGAATTACAACACAGAGTTGTTTCACCTGAAAGCAAGAGGGTTGGTTTTAAGTAACCCTGTGTCCATCAGTCACTGGTGGGACTCTTCCTTTGTGTGCATGTACATGAGAGGATGCTTGTGCTGGTGACCTCTGGTCATTTCTTGGAGGGGCGGATTCTGTAAGATGAGGGCACTTTTCCTGAGAAAAGAGCAGCTGTGAGCTGTTAGCAGTCAACACTGATAGCAGCTGGGAGCTGGTGGGGACCTAGCTAGCAAAGGTTGTCTGCATGGTAGCACCAATAGTTCCTGCAGGCAGTCACATCACTGGTGCAGCAGGTGTTGAAAATAATTGGTAATGCCATGTCTGATGATCCGAAGGCAAGAGGACTATGGAACCCACATAGGAGGACCACAGAGCCATAGTGCTCTGAAGAAGGTGGCATGGATCAGCAACTTGCTTTGGAGACAGTGGGATATGGTGACCCCTTTTTGAAATGTTGAAATGCAACCTCTAAAGAGACAGGCAAGTTCTATATTACACTTACGGACTGTTAAAACACCCTGTGCCTTTTCTTCACTGTATTAATCACAACTGCAATTAAATTGTAATTATTTCTGTAGTTACTGAATATCATCTCCTACACAATACCATAAAAGCACCTCTGTATCTCTAATACCTGGCACATAGTAGGTGCTCAGTAACTTTTGATGAATGAACAAGTGTGCATGTGTTTAGGAAAATGGAGGAAGGTGCTCATGGGGGCAGCATTTTACATTGATTGTTTTACATACCTGAAATCTTTTCTCTGCTGTTTACACCAATCCTAGCCCCTTTTGTGTCCTGCTCATCACCCACTGCTGCCAGGCATTCCCTCCCTAATTCATCATGCACACTGCCATTCAACACAAAGCAATCTGTGAAACATATAAACCTTGCTTTTCCAACTGGTTTTATGTATTTATTTGTGATCCAATTCACTACAGAAAGGGTTAGGTTGGAATTTTTTTGATGGTTGAGTTTACGTTTTGTCTTTGGTTTTGGTTTCTAGAACGCTTCTTTTCTTATGCCGTTCTTGTAATCTGCAGAAACGCTTCCCCTGACAATCATTAGTCATTTAAATCCTTCAAAAACCTGTTCATGGGCCATTGCTTTACTGACTGACCCAGTTGGAAATAACCTTTTTCTTCTCTGAGTTCTGGTAGCACTCTGTTGCTACCACTCTGAAGACACTTACTTTTGCCTCCTTAGGTGGTAGTTATTCCTCTATCTGTCATAGTTCCTCTCTAGATCTGTTGGCTCCCTCACATCAAGACCACACATTGAGCCTCTTGGTTGATGTGTATACCACAGGTGCAAAATAAATGCTTTTTGTGCTGTTAACATAAATGTGTACATGTCAGATAATCAAGATTATACAGGATGATGTATAATAAGGTTGGAAGTTGGACAGGAAGGAAGATGTTAAATAATTTTTTTGAAGTTACTCAAATTCAGTATTTAATATCTGCAGAAGAGGCAGAGGAAGAACAGAAATCATGAGAAATAGACCTGAGAATTGTCTTAATGTAAATCAGTTGGAATCAAGAGAGCCCTAGCATGGGATGAAGTATGGCTTCTCCATGAATTTCCTTTTCTTCTCTTATATCTAGTTGGGGTGATGTATGTTGTACTTGGGTAATAGAGATTTTGCTTGTGTGATGTCATCAGTCCCACATTGTAGGGAAATTCTTTCCAGAAATGGAGTCACTATGGCCCCCAGTTGTCCTGGACTTGCCTGTCTGGCTGGAGCAGGCACAGATGTTGATGATCACTCCTCAGCTTCGAAACAAGGTTTTATAGTGCCAGCAATTCATATTAAACTGAGCCCATTTCCTCTATAATGTGAGAGCACTTTCTTGATCATTCTTTAATCGTAACAGATGTCTTTGAAGCTGCCTAGAACAGGATATGGAAAATTTGTCCAGTGATCAAATATGGATTCAAAGGGAGATTCCTGATGGTTCCCTTTAAGCTGTGGGTGCTGTTTAAAAATGCTACACTGATACGGTACCTTTGAAAAGCAACTAATGGCTAGAGATTGCTGCTGAATTCTAGAAGGCAGTAATCTGATTTCCAAAGATGCTGTACATGTGAAACTTGAGGGAGAACGTGGTGTGGCTTTTTTTCCGTGGCAGTGTGTCCTGTCAATGTTGTGTTCTGCAAGACTATGACTTTTGTAGTCTCAAATAAGCTAGTAAGCAGAGTCACTTTTTTAGTGTGTAGTTTTAGAAGTACAGAGAGCACACACCTTTCCCCAAACCTTGTTTATATTGGGGAAACCTAACTCAGTGCTACAAATACTAATTAAGGCATATAACTATGCTAACTTGCTACTGTGATGGTTCCAAGGATATACCAATAAAGCAAAGTGGTAAAGCAGAGACTTTATTAGTAAAATTATAGAATTAGAAGGGATTTTAGGATTAGCTATGACAAAACCCTCACTATTGTGATGGTGATGTGAGAAGGAAAGGAAAAGAAAACTAACATTTATTATATGATGATTATGTGTCAGACATGTATATCGTGCGTTATTTACTCCTCCCAGAAACTCAATGTAGGAAAACATGGGAATCTATCAACTATCTATCTATCTATCATCTATTTATCTATCTATCTATCATCTATCTTCTATTTAAATTGAGTACAAGGGAGGCTGTGCTGAGGCTTTTAAAAGTAATGTGAATTCTTAGAAAATCCCTGTGAGATAGACAATATATTTTTTATTTCAGAGAAGAGGAAAGAGAACTGAAGACATTAAATGGCATTGCTGGGAAGTGATTCAGTTGGTATTTGAACTGGTTTGTACATAATTGAAGCCCTTGCTCTTTCCTAATCCTCATATTTCAGCTACAGACATGAAGGTGTAGATGGAGGGTGTGTTTCAATCAAACTTTTGGGGCCTTGGCTCAGTTGTCTTTCTTCTATTTCATACTGAACATCCCTGCAACTAGGGACAAGGAGGAAGGAGGCATCATCTGACCAAGAGCACTGGCCCCTGTTAAATTCTTTTTCCCAGATTGCATGCCCTCGATCAGCAACTTTAATTCCAAATTTTCTGTGGGAATAAATTCCAGAGATCGACACATATACTTTCCATTTAAGGTGTTTCCAAAGTTGCCGATTTAGGCCACTTGAAGTATTCTTTTGTTTGCTTATGCAATTTTAATTTATTATTTTCTAAAGAGTTCGTATTATCAGAAATATGTTTCCAGCCTCCTACTTTGTGTTTGATGCCTCTCTTCTCCCTGGTATCTACCTTGGATCTTTCAGGCTGGAGTTAGAACAATTTACTCCTTCTTCACAGCTTCTGGAAAAGAGGCAATAGTTAGTCTCTGAACAACATCCATTGCATATTTGGAGATAATTATGGAATCCCCTCCCAGCTTTTGTTAACATGAACTTTTCCCTTAGGGACAGTTTTTAAGTATGGAGAAACCATATATCACCAAGCTTCAGCCTTACTTTTATAGATGGGGAAAGGGTGCGTGAAGCAGGGAGGAGATATGTGGGCTTCTCCACCCTGCATTTGAGCAATCCAGTGCTTAGATGACACCTGTACTTTGGTGGTGGTGAAAGCCAAAAGACTTCATGGCACTGTGTGAGTCTCAAGTGTCCTTCCACTCAGCCTAAGGGAGAAGGATATTAGTCCAGTGGAAGCTGTTAGGGAACCAATCAAATTCATTTGCAGTGGCAAAGCATGTTAATCTGGATTTTTGCCTCTAATGATAAGGCAATGTGATCAGTGGAATTAGCATTGACTTGAGACTTGGCACAACTGGTAACTGATTATGTAGCCTAGGATAAGCCTCTTTATTTTCCTGTTTCTTTTTTTCTTTCTCTTGACTGAAATGAAGAGTTGGAATAAACAACCTCTAAGACCCCACCCAGATCTGAAATTCTATATCTTAGAATCTCTAGGAGGGACCACAGCATTACTGCTGTCTCCCCATTATTTGGACAAGCACAAAAAGATGAGTTACTTCATTCATGGATTAGCGGGGTAATGTGACTGATATCTTGTTGGAAAATCACCAGGAGAAGACAATGTGGTGTATTGAACCAAGAATCGGGTGGCCTGAGATTGAGTCCTGCCTTTGTTATTAACTTACTGGGTGATTTTGAAGAACTGAAACATTTGGGTGTAAGTTTCTCATTACTTAAGTGACAATTCAAATTCAATGATCTCTTGAATGCCTACTATTGGTGCTTTCTACGTTAGTCATTGAGCTAAGAGTAGAAAGAAGGACAAGATATGATTCCTAATTCTGAAAGCTTACAATTTGTGGAGGAGTAAATAAACCACATAGTGCTTATGTGAAGTGCCATAACAGAAGTATATTCAGATGCTACCCAAATGAGGAGTTAAGAATTTGTGCGGAGTAAGAGAATAGACAGAGAATACTGTTGAGGTCACATTTGGTTCAGTACTCTCAGTTAAGTGGATGGAGGGAAGAGCATTCTAGGCAGAGGTGTGAGCAAAGATAGGGAAGAACAAAAGAAAACCTTGAGAAATAACACTGGGTGAGTGAAGGATGTGAGGAGAGGGGGTGCAGGGACTGGAATAGAGTTTGCATCATCCTGTAATGGACACGTATTCCTTGTAGTGTGGTTTGCATGTCTCTACCAAAACTTATGTTGAAATTTAATTACCATTGTATTAAGAGGTATTAAGAGGTGGGACCCTTAAGAGGTGATTAAGTCATGAAGGCTCTGCCCTTGTGAGTGAATTAATGTCATTATCATGGGAGTAGGTTAGCTATTATGGGAGTGGGCTCCTGATAAAAGGATGAGTTTGGCCCCTATTTTCTCACTGTCTCTCGTGTGGCCTTCCTCGCCACATGATAAATTCTGTCATGGGATTATATAGCAAGAAGGCCTTCATCAGATGCTGAGCAGATGCAAGTTCCATCCTCTTGGACTTCCTAGACTCCAGAACTGTGTGCCAAATAAACTTCTATTCTTTATGAATTACTCAGTCTGTGATATTCTATTATAGCAGTAGAAAAATAGACTAAGACATCTTGCTAAGTAATTTGAACCTTGTCCTGCATGCAATAAAGATTTATTGAAACATTTTAAAGGAGTAGTGTGGTCAGATCTGTATATTCTGGAGGAAAAATGGGAACAAAAGAGATAAAAAGCAAACAGACTAAATGAGAACTCTTGCAAATATACAAGAAGAGGATATGAAGGCCTGAACCAAGGCATTGGCAGAGAAAATGGAGGAACAAGCTTCAGGATGGGAATTGTCTTGTAAGTGGAATTAGGATTGGCTACATAATTTGTGGGGCCTAGTAAAAAATAAAATTGAAGAGCCCTTTGAAGACATAATTAAGAATTTCAAGACAGTGACAGCAGAATTTTGAACTGGGGACAGGGGCCTTCTAAGCATGGGGCCCTGTGTGACTGCTCAGGTCTCATGTCCTTGAAGATCGCCATGAGTAGAATAGTACTTTATTTCCTTCCAGGTTTATTGTGATCATAGTCATAAACACTGTTTACAATTTATAAGAGTATACATTTTGGGGTGTCTATTTTACAGATAATTTTATTCTGTGTATTCTGCTTTTTGTTTAGATTTTTTTTTTTTTTTTTTTTTTTTTGAGATGGAGTCTCGCTCTGTCGCCCAGGCTGGAGTGCAGTGGCGGGATCTCGGCTCACTGCAAGCTCCGCCTCCCGGGTTCACGCCATTCTCCTGCCTCAGCCTCCCGAGTAGCTGGGACTACAGGCGCCCGCCACTACGCCCGGCTAATTTTTTGTATTTTTAGTAGAGACGGGGTTTCACCGTTTTAGCCGGGATGGTCTCGATCTCCTGACCTCGTGATCCGCCCGCCTCGGCCTCCCAAAGTGCTGGGATTACAGGCGTGAGCCACCGCGCCCGGCCTGTTTAGATTTTTATCTTAACCTTTTCTGAATTGTCATGCCACGAGACAAGTCCAAAGAAATGCCTCACTATGACGCTGCCTAGAATCTTCAGCAGGTTTTCTGGAGGAAAACGTTTCTTAAGTCACAAAGCAGTTTCTTATAGAGAAAGCTAAGAAAGGAGAAAACAAGAAAATGCAAGAAAAACAAGAAAAAAGCTTCAAAAGAGGGCCTTATAATAGGGTGATATAGAACTGGGTTTATTTAATCTGGAGAACGTAGTAGGGAAGGATTTTATTATGGTATTTGTATTAGTCAGCTATGCCATAGCAAAGTTGGGTGACAAACCATCCCCAACTGTGATGGTTAATAGAGTGTCAACTTGATTGGGTTGAAAGATGCAAAGTATTATTCCTGGGTGTGCCTATAAGGGTGTTGCCAAAGGAGATTAACATTTGAGTCAGCTGACTGGGAGAGGCAGACCCACCTCCATCTGGGTGGGCACCATCTAATCAGCTGCCAGCATAAAAGCAGGCATGGAATGAGCAGACTTGCTAAGTCTTCTGGCCTCTTTCTTTCTCCCGTGCTGGATGCTTCCTGCCAACGAACATCAGACTCCAAGTTCTTCAGCTTTTGGACTCTTTGGACTTGCACTAGTGATTTGCCAGGGGCTCTCAGGCCTTTGGCCACAGATAAAGGCTGCACTATCAGCTTCCTTACTTTTGAAGTTTTGGGACTTGGATGGGCTTCCTGGCTCCCCAGCTGGCAGATGGCCTACTGTGGGACTTCACCTTGTGATTATGTGAGTAAATTCTCCTAATAAACTCCCCATCATATATTCATCTATCCTATTAGTTTTGTCCCTTTAGAGAATGCTAATACACCACTCAGTGACACATAATTGGCAGTTATTCTCATGCTCAATAGGTCTTCAGGGGACCTGTGGTTTAGTTGGTCTTAAGTGGCCTCAAATGCATGACTACTACAGTTTGAGGGTTGACTGGTCTTAGATCCAGGCTGTGAGTTGGGTTCAGGTCTGTTCCTTGTGCATTTTTTATCTGGGGGCTCAGACTAAAGAGACAGTGTCCACCCAGCCCTGCTCTTCTCGTGGCTATCACAGGAAGTAGGAGGTCAAGCCACACTCTGTGGAAGCAGGTGGAATGGCACTTGCCGTGGCCAATGGAGTGTCAACAGGTTGCAAGTATACGGCCAAGGCCAATGTCCCTGGAGCAGGGAAATAAACTTCACCCACAAAGGAAGGGGTAACAGAGTGAATATTTGCTGAATAAACCTAACTCTCACAAGACTCAAAAATTTGTTCTTTCAGAAGCTATGAAACTTGGTTGCTGGATCGTTACACTGAGGCTAATAATGAAAGGAAGGCGGAATAAAGGGCCTTGGTTAGCTACAGGATCCTATCGGACAGGAAGGATTGCTGTTTGGCAGAGGGTGGGCATTTCTGAAGATCTTCAGGGTAAGCTCATTTTGTCTTTTGAGGAGACTGCTATGTGAGGCCCTGCTGGGAAGAAGTGGCAAGGTCGGAAGTGAGTTCAAAGATTTTTCCAGGTTTCTTCAAGTTGCAGAACTGTAGAGATTGAACAGTGGCCTCAGGTAACAAATGCTCAGGATGAATGCTTCCCCTGGTTCTCAGACTACAGAGGGAGAAGATATATTTTCCTGGCCTTCATCAGACCACCTCTCAGGATACTTGAGGTTTCTTTTCTTTTTTTAAAAAAAATTTTAGTTTTGATTTGATAGTTCCAAGTTTTTGGAAGAATTTGCTTAAAGGTTTGGAGGTTTTTTTTTTTTTTTGGTGGGGGGTATTTAACATTTTCCTTAGGATTTAATACTCAAAATTTTTTCAGAATCCTCTTTCAAATCAAGAAGCACCTTAGGTCTTTGTGAATATGTTCCTGATTTGCAATTACTAGCTGGAGGATGATATTAAAATAAAGAAGGCTAAAGATAGTTCGCTAACTAGTAGATGTAGAAGGGATGATAGAGTTAGAATATTACTATTTTGAAACCATCATTAGTAATTCAGAAAAAAATTGTGAATGCATGCTAAAACTAGTAGATGAAGTTGAATGAGGAACAGGATATATTCATAGCCTTAAGGTATCTTCTTACAAACTACTTACTAATTGTGGAGGAAAAAATAATAGTTTTATAATAGAAAAAGTTGACAGGCACCATCTCATACCAAGTGATCCAAGTTATCGTTGCCAGCATCTCTTATCTCTCTTGATGTGATATGCTGAGAAGAACACATCATTTCTGTGATAATTGTACCAAAGGATGCATAACCCCAAATAGGGGAGATTCTATGAAAGAATCTCTAAAAAAATGTCAAGGTCATGGAAAACAAAGGAAGGCTGAAGAACTACTCCAAAATAAAGGAGACCGAAAATGTATGATAATGAAATGGAAAGTGTGAGTCTGGATTGGATCCTGGAGTAGGATAAAAAAA
Source organism: Homo sapiens (assembly GCF_000001405.40). Classification (NCBI taxonomy): domain Eukaryota; kingdom Metazoa; phylum Chordata; class Mammalia; order Primates; family Hominidae; genus Homo; species Homo sapiens. The sequence continues at coordinate 6,263,956 of NC_000020.11, forward strand.
TATAGCTCTGAAGGACATTGTTGGGATAATAGGTAAACTTTGAATGTGGACTGTGGGTTAAAGAGTAGAATTATACCAATGTTAAATCTATATTTTAATAATTGTGCTATGGTTACGTAAGAAAACATCTTCCTCTTAAGAAATATACGCTGACATATTTAGGAGTAAAGGAGCATGATGTCTACCACTTATTCTCAAATGGGTTGCAAAAAATTCCTTTTAGAGAGAAAGGAGAAAACAAATGGGAAACAATTTCAGTTAGCCCCAATTTGGACGTGGATAAAAAGTACCTTGGAGGTGTTGGTCTGATTCTGGCAACTTCTCTGGAGGGTTAAAAATAAATCAAATTAAAAAGTTGTACAAAAGAAAAAAACCTTTCTCAATATTTAAAGGTGCAAAATATTTCGATGTGATATAATTACAATATGTTGTTGCAGTACTGTGAAACCAAAGCTTTATACTTTTAAACAGTTAAGTCTGATTAATGAAAGCAGAAAAAAAAAATCCCCTTAGACTTAGCAACAAACAGACTGTACCCCTGGACAACACTGATGTTGTAGCTCTCAGTGTTCTTCCCAGTTTTCTGTTGTAGGTCAGCTATGCCTCACAGTTTAAAATTGCGAATAGGAGAAAGGTATTGTTTTATTTTATTAGCTGTGGTAGAAAGAAACTAGATTTTATCTGAAAAGCATTTTAGACTCATAGGAAGAATAAAAGAATAGAAAAAAGTTTCTTTGTTGGCACTTCTTGATCTTACAGAATAGCATAATCTATTGTGATTGAGGTTCTAGAAATTAGAAAGGAAAGTTTGCTGTAATGGAGGGGCGTTGATTTGGAGGTTTGGTAGCAATGGAAATAGTCAAAACAAAAGAATTAATTTCAGTAAAAATTGTTTGTTGGACCAGATCCTCTGTGAGTGAGCCATGAGAAAAGACAAGGAAGTTGAGAATTGGACCATTTTAAAAAGAACATTTAAAGACTTGGATTCGTTTGCTTCTTTCTTGCCTACAGCTCCCATTTCACCATTTTCTTCAAATCCAGGCAAAATAAGATTCACTGATACCATCAGGCCTCATGTTTGTGATTATTTTGCTTATGTTTTAAAGTCAATTCTTTCCACAAAGTTGTGTATTCTCCAAAGATTTCTCTGATCTCGCTTGCTTTTCAGCAGATATTGGCAAAGACATTGATAGATGTTTCAAAATACTCAATTCATTCCTTGACTGCTTTTATTTCCCCCTTTTTGCTAGTGATGCCTAATGTATGGGCTATATATCTTTTGCCAGTGGTAGAGACATATTATTTTTACTGAAAGCAACTAAATATATAAGCTTTAATTTGAAAATGAAACTGTTTAAGAGGATCTTAGTTTTCATTTTTTAGCACTGAAATCCCTGTTGTCATCTTTGAGGAAGCAGTAGGTGGAGCTACAGGCTTTTTATCACGAAAGAATGTTTGCAGTAGCTGCCCATTGCCGGAATAACCTGAACAAGCACACATTTCCAAAAATAACAGAGGCATTTCCAAGTATTCCAGAAATATATGCAAGACTGTTTAGTCATTCATAATCACCGCTTTGCAAGTACTAGATTCTGTAGAAAATATTTCAGAAGCAGAAAAAAGATTCATAGAATTCCCTGTATTTTTAGAAAAGAGATTTTTAAAAAATGGAATTCAAGAGGGAGGGAGAGACACTTACGCTGTTCAATCATGTGCCACTTTTTTTCCCAGGTGGTGAAAGGGCCCAGAGGGGTAGCCGGGGGTGGAAAAAAATCTTTTCCATTTGCGTCAGAACTCTGAGGAGCTCTTCATTTCCCCACTCGATGAACTTTTTTGAGGCTCTAAACTGTGGTTTCAATTTTCTCTGAATCACAGAGGGGTAGCCTAGGTTAAGTGATTCTGAGGAGGCCAGAAGGCGCTTACAACAGATCGCTCCTGAGGACCGTTCCTCTCATATAGCCTGGTGTTTTTGACCATTTTCCTAAGAAAGAATTATGAAATGGCTTTTAATCTCTGTGAAAAATGTAGATTCTCTCCATGTAAAAATCACAAATTTTGAGAAATGCTTCAATGATCTTGTTTCAGGGTTCTCCAGAAAAGCAGAACCATTTAAAAAATAGAACATCTAGACTATTTTTTGACTAAACAATGGGGTACCATAGCCAAGCCAAGCTGACATCTAAAATTAACTATCATGGATCTCGTTGCTATAATCTGGTCTCAAGCCCCACAAAGAAATAATATATGTGTGTGTGTATATATATATATATATATATATATGTATATATATATATATATATATATATACATACTAGCCCATATATATGGAGAGAGAGGGAAAGAGAGATACCTTCACAGTGATATCTAGACTTGTGTTTGACCAAACAACTGGGTACCATAGCCTAGTCAAGTTGACATCTAAAATTAACTACCACAGGTCTCATTGTTATGATCTGATCTCAGAGAAGCCCCTCAGAGAAATGCTGAAGAATATCTTAAGGCACACCATTGCCCTGGATGTTAAGTGTTAAGGGAGGGCCACACGTGGCTGCAGTAGAAGAGGTTTACCACCCCTGACCCTGTTACTAAGCCTCTCCCTCCTACTTGTTTGTCCCATCCTCTCCTGGGGACAGCAAATTATGACATAAAGCTAGAAAAAAGACAAAAAGGGAGCCATTGCTAGGACTTGATGGATGAAGGCTGCAGACATCGATTTCTCTGCCTTTGGCTCTTCTAGACACTCCTGTTGATGATGACTTCCAGTTAGAAGAACAGCAGCCAAGATGCCTCCTGACTGCAGAGCTGGCTGGAATAGATCTGGCTGCTATAGAAGCCCTTCCTTTTTCATTCAGTCCTCACAGCAAACCTCTGATTTACAGGCAAAAAAAAAGGCTGAGAAAGGTTCATGGATTCTTCAACTGCTGAGCAGCTGCCATACCCTGGACACGACTCTGGGTGCTGGGAATACACACAAGTATGATAAGAACACACATATTTCTTTCTCTTACGGTTCTAACATTCTAATTCAGACAACAGCAAACAAAATAAGTAAATAAACAAGTGAAAAAGTGCAAATTCTGGCAAGTGATAGGAAGGAAATCAGTAAGTGGGCTGAGATAGAGTTTACTTGGGGTGTGGTGGGAAACCCACTTTTGGTGTGCCACAAGGAAGGCTGCTGTGGGGTGGTAACATCTAATTTGAGATGTAAATGGACTTAATAGACTTGGCTAAACCTTCCACTCATAAGTAAGAATTGGAGCTGGGAGGACATTTTGCTGTTGTTTTAACTCATCTATAATCTTTATCCATCACAACTGTCTACTAGCTTAGAAGTAGTATGAGATAAAAAGATCTGGTATTCCATTTCAAATCTAAGAGGGAATTGTGAATGCCTAAGCAAAGGCTGGTAGGTACTTTGTGAATGAACAAATGTGCCTGAATCTCAAGAAAGGAAATGCTAGACAATCTTAAGCAACCCCAGCTAGAGTCTTTCAACCACTCCTGTTACTCAGTTCTTCCTTCTCTGTAGCCGGAATGTTTCGTGCTGTACCTGCAAACTTCTTCCTTTTGCCTTGTCCTTGGCTAATGCAAAGAACTAACTGGTGGTTGTCCTTTTTTGTAAGAGATGCCTGACAGCCTGACCAATTTGGAGAAACCCTGTCTCTACTAAAAATACAAAATTAGGCAGGCATGATGGTGCATGCCTGTAGTTCCAGCTGCTCGGGAGGCTGAGGCAGGAGAATCTCTTGAATCCAGGAGGCGAAGGTTGTGGTGAGCCAAGATCATGCCATTGCACTCCAGCCTGGGCAACAAGAGTGAACTCCTGTCTCAGGAGAGAAAAAAAAAATGCTCGACATGCTTCTCACTTAGATTAATATGTCACATTTCTTTCATTAGCCTGTTGTTGTGGTTCATATTCTCTGATTGTTTAATGGTCTTTCAGGCTCCACATAGGTTGTACAGATGGTCCTTGAGGCAACCGCAGAGGGCGTCATTCACGTTGCAGGTGTGTCAACAATAATCACAGTGGTAATTTGTTGGTGTGGGGTAGAAAAGAGTCTTAACAGGAGGGAGGCACTTCCCCTGCATATCTCCTTATCAACCTCCCTCTTTCTTTCTAATGCGCAAAGACACTTAGGATGATATGAAGTGAGTTTATGCATTTTTTCTCTCCCCTTAGCACTGTGAAGGCACAGGGAGGATATCATATAGGGCATTGTCCATTTTCTTCTTTTTACTGCTGACAATACCAGCTTTTCATTTGGTGTCTGGAAGCCTCCTGAAATTACATGGGAAATTTTGTTCATAGACTTTTTTTTTTTTTTCCCCTGGGGTTAGGGTCTATTGCTTTCAACAGACTCTTGGAGTTACCTTTCCCCAAATAAAGAATTTCTTACTTTCAGGATTCCCTCAAGTATAAAAGGGGTGGTGAAGGCAATGTTTCCATCTCAAAACAGAAAGGATATTCTTTACTTGAACTATTTGGAGAGTCATTTAGGAGGATGGCTGAGTGTAACCAGCAAGCTATGTTCATTTGGTCCTTCTTGAATTTCTTTTCATCACTTCCTCTCACTCTACCCACTGGTGGTCTGTTGGAGGCTCATAGCAATACCCTTCCCATTGAACCTTCTCTGAGAATACTCTGAATTCAGTGAGATTTTCCCTTCTTCTCCACTAAAGATGCATCTTTGGGTCCCATTCTGCTGCTCTACAGTTGACAGTCAGTCTGCATGGTGATTTAGTGGTTATTTGTGTTAGCCATTCTAGACAACAAGCTTCTTTTTATTAATAATAATATAAACAGATGACATTTGGAAAGTACTCTCACCTGAGAGGTAGATTGGCACCTTAAACCTAAAGAAGGATGCCAAGTGGGAGAATCAAGTTGAGAGAGAGAAGATATTGGGCAGATAGGACAAGAAGTACTTCTCAACTCATGGACACAAAAAGGAAAACAATAGTCACTGGGACCTACCAGGATATGGAGGGTAGGAGCAGGGAGAGGATCAGGAAAAATAAAGAATGGGCACTAGGCTTATTACCTGGGTGATGAAATAATCCATACAACAAACCCCATGACATGAGTTTACCTATATAACCTGCACATATACCCTTGAACTTAATTTGTTTTCTAAAAGGAAAATAAAGTTTGCATTTTTGCTTATGGAAGTAACAACCCATCATTGTAGTCCAAAGTGAAAATTTTGGGGGAATGTCATTTCAGCACCTTTAGAAAACTAGGTTTGAAATGTATTTGTAAACTGCTGTGTTGGAGTGGATATTGACAAGAACTAACTCAATTCCCAGTGCAAGGCATAGAAGTAACCCAGTGATAGTGCCATGCGCCCTAGCATAGATGCCTGCATGCGTGGATGACCACTGGGAGCTCCTGAAGACAGGGAGCTGTCCACCTCCAGCACTCAGTAAAGCTTGTGAAGCTGAGGGGAGACGGGAGTGAAACATGGGTCTGGGAGTCATCAGAAAGTGAAGCCAAGCCTCTGGCATACAGGGTTATTCCGTTCCAAGGATCAGGCTGAGACCTTCCCCTTCCTCAGCTCTTTCCCCTTCACTGGTTTGTATGTTTGTCCCCTCCAAATCTCATGTTGAAATGTGATTCTCAGTGTTGGAGGTGGGGCATGGTGGGAGGCGATTGCATCATGTGGGCGGATCCCTCATGAATGGTTTAGCACCATCACCTTGGTGATGAGTGAGCTCTCGTTCAGTTAGTTCATGAGAGATCTGGTTGTTTAAAAGTCTGGGACAGCCCTTCCTAGCTCTCTTGCTGTCACTCTCACCATGTGACACCATGTGTTCTCCCTTTGCCTTTCGTTATGATTGGAAGTGTCCTAAGGCCCTCACCAGAAGCAGATGCTGGCACCACACTTCCTGTACACCCTGCAGAACCATGAACCAATTAAACAGCTTTTCTTAAAAAGAAACGCTTCTCAAAAACTCTGCTCCTGTGGGGAGTTGAATGAATCAGGGACTTGCAAGTTCTTTCTTTTATAGGTCAATGTTCTCATTGGAAAAAGTTCGCTATATTTTATTTACCATCTTTAAAAGCCCAGGTTGAAATTTCTAACTGGGGGTAGGATTTTAAGGAGGGTGATATTTTAAGAGACTTTTCATTCCTGGCGTGGTGCTTGATCAAATAAAAGCTTTACCACTTTTTATCTTTGTGATAAAAAGATATTTAACTCCCTTATGCTTCAGTTTCTTCATCTATAAAATGCAAACAATAGTACTTCTTATAAGATTGTTGTCAGGATTTAATGACATGATTCACATAAAGTGCTTAGCATATTACAGGGCTAATAACAAATATGAGCTATTAATTTTAAATATTTCTGCAGTGGTTTAAATTTTTGAAACGAGTATATGTTATTTTTACAATGCTAAAAATTAGAGTAGAAAATTAAAAAGTAAAGTCTAGATTGTTCAATCGGGCTTGTTTTAAATTTGTTTTTTATATTTTTCACTCTAGAGAAGAGCACCTAGCATCTTAACTCCTCATGCTGAAGAGGAAATAGTTCTGAGCAATTATTTATTTAAAATATTAAATAATATTTAAAATATTAAATAATGTTTAAAATATTTAAAATATTAAATAATGTTTAAAATATTTAAAATATTAAATAATGTTTAAAATATTTAAAATATTAAATAATGTTTAAAATATTTAAAATATTAATGTTTAAAATATTTAAAATATTAAATAATGTTTAAAATATTTAAAATATTAAATAATATTTAAAATATTTAAAACATTAGTGGTGGTAAGGTGAAGAAAAAAGTTAAGTTGGTTGTTTTCTACAAGTTAAATAGATAAGTTTTGTGGTTGGTAATTGAAATAGGGAGCAAGCTTTTTGTGAAAGCTTTAAATAAACTTTTAGAGTTTTAAAATGGGAAACTCAAAGTATATTTTGGGAAAATGTACAGTTTAGTACAAGCCGTGAGCTGTCTCATATGTTTAGAGCAAAATGCTAATTGGGTAAGTACTTGGAGATGAAGCTGGAAAGAGAAGCTGAGCTTGAAGAGCCTTGCTTGCGGAGGTGAGAGAGTGGACTCTTGTTGAGCCAGTGGGAAGCTGGCAGTGGTTTTGGAGAAGAAGGATAAATTCACCAGAGTGTAAATATATTCTTATTACTGGATTAAATCACTTCAAATAATTTCATCTGGTAAAAACTTGAATTTATTCCTAGTTCTTTGTGACAAGCTAGCAACTTGAATTTTCTTTTCTTTTTTTAAAGTAGTTAAAAAAAACTACAGGAGAGCCAGATCTGACAGGAGAGCCAGATGTTAGTAGGGTTTGCTAACATCTGGCTCTCCTGTCCTCCCTGGGCATAGAGGAGTCTGTTTCCCAGTCCTCTTGCAATTAGAGAGGGGCACGTGAATTTTTCTGGCTAATAAAAGCATAAGAGAAGTATATTGCTTCCAGTGCCTCTGCAATTCTCCTGTTTCTCCCTCTGTCTTTCTGATCATGGATGTACCTTTGTGTTGTGATGACTTTGTCTCATAAACCAAAGCAGCATGGATTACTGAGGCACCGTATGGAGAATGGTTGCCCTGGGAAGTTGCTTGAACTTGCAGTGTATTTTGTATGAGTGATAATCTTTGTTGTGTGAAACCACTGAGATGTATTCTTTGGTTACTTCTGCATAACCTATCTTATCCTGACTATTAATAGCAAAAGCTATGATGTATATAACAGCCTTCTAGGCAACGTGAGCTGCCCAGGAATCATGAGGTTGTTAACCAGCAAGGGATGGTTGTGTGGGCACATTCTTCAATCTCAAGTAGCTTTACCTGTCCCAGGAAATATAAACACTGCAGCTAAATGGAAACATGGAAGAAGGAGATAAACTGCATGCAACCAATCCTAACAATCTAGAGATCTAGCTACACTTTGGGGGATATGTGCTTATAAGTACTGATCTAACATGAGGTTGAAGAAGTTAAGGTAAAGGTGGGTATATTTTTAGAAACACTTGAGTCACGTTATCTAGAAGGGTTTCCTAGAAACATCTGCTCTAAGTTGATGGGAGGGGAGGGAATTTAAAATAATTTTATATGATAGTTTTAAGATAAAACAAAAAAAGTGACTATATTTTTCTATAAAAATATTAAGGTAAAAAGTTGTGCAACTTAGGAGATAAAATTGAAGATAATTAAAATAAGAGGAGAAATGAAGGTAGAAAAAAATTGTCTGGTAGGGGTAAGAGGAACTAACGTGGTCTGGTGGCCAAGGCAAAGAGAGAAACATCATCAGTCATTAAGAATTACCATGTTCCTAATATAAGAAACACACTAATTCTTAAGAAAAGCAGAGCCATTCTTGGCCATGAGGTCTGATGGAAATTTCTAACTTGTGTCCACAAAATTAGGGAACAGTGATCTAGGGACTATACATAGTAGGAAAAAAGATCTTAGTAGTATAAGCCAGTCAAGAGGCACTGAGAGTTGTTTCTTCAAAGAAAAGTAAAACAGAAAAGCTGGGAAATAATGTATATGCGTTATTCTTTGACCTAGAAATTGCATGTGAGTGGTCCTATGACTTAATATTTTTAGTTTATCATGAAAAGTACAAGAAAATTTGGGGAGGTTAGTTTCTAGAGATTGCATTGGCTATACAATACTTCATGGTGTTTTATTTGGGAAAGAGGTGTGAAAGTTTTATTACTGTTTCACTGTGTGTTTGCATGAATGTATAGAGTACCTTTTGGTAAATTTGAAAGATTTCCACTGCACTACCTGATATGTTTGCTTTAAAAAACTCGTCTCCAACCTTAAGAAAGATATGCCAGTAGTTATAAAACTATGTCGTTAAGGACTAATAGACAGCCATAGTAGATAGTTCTTAAAGGATTGGCAGTTCACTGAGATGATGAGATAATTTTATAGTTGGAGCAAATGACCAGAGAGCTCTTTTACAGCTCCTTAAACAAGTTAATATTGATTTTATGATGCTTTTTCTATTATTTTATAAGGGAAAGCAGTGAGAATATGAGGTGTTGGAGTCTGTTGCTCACTTTTATGAACTGGCCTGCTTGCTTTTTTTTTTTTTTTTTTTTTTAATTAACTATTTCCTGCTTTCCAAGGCAATTGGACAGACTATTTGTAGGTCAAACAAGAAGGCAGAAAATAAGTTTTCTTTTTTTTTAATTAAAAGTTTAAAAAGTTATTTTAACATGATTTTAGCAAAATTTTAGCAACTATTTTTACATAATTTTGTCTTGAACTTGGATTATTTCATGTGCATGTCAATGGAGCCAGGCCTCTTGTCGAAATGCTAATTGGGGTCTCACAGGGAAGTCCCAAAACAGTTTTATACAGCCACTTTTTTCCTGTTTTGTATCCAGAACATTCTCAGTTACTGCTCTCTGAATGTTGTCTGAACACGTGACCTACAAAAAGACCATTACTGTGGCCGCCATGTTAATGCTGCTATGTAATTCTCCTTTAATGCATATCCTTGGGGGTCACTCTATAACCTGATTTAGCCTTTGGCTTCACCATCCCTACATCTATATTTTTCTTAAGAACTTCCTTTTGGAAAAGCTTGAAGTCATAAATGTCCTGAAATCAGATTCCAGCCATCTGAAATTATGAACCAATTGGCACCATTAAGTGTGTAGGTTTGTATTTAATCTTCTCCAAACTTCAGGATCTCAAGCCACGGTATCAGTGGATATACATTTATATGATATCCTGTAACATAGTTTTCTAATTGTCTTGGCTGGGCAGATCTCTAAGTGAGCTGAGGGTGGGCCACTGAAATGAAGGGTAAGTGTTCTTGGACTGATCATGCAATTGTAAAACACTGAGCTTCAGTGAAACTAAGTGGGCCCAGGTGGCTTTGCTGTCTAAAATTGGGCCTTTCCAAAGCCTTTTATCTCTTTTTTCCTTTAGAACATACAAGTTCTTAAAAAATAATCAGCTCTGGTGGGAAACTTTGGCTAAAGAATTTATATTTTTAGGTTTTTGTATTTAATATGTCTTTTTTCACAAAGCAAGTAAAATTTCATTATGCAGGAGGACACAGGGTTTGTTTAGCCTTGGATGTGTGATGGCTTCATTTCCAAATGTAAGGACGGTGCTGGGTGGAGGTTTATTTCAGATTGTTGGCATGGGCTATGGCATCTTGGTTTGAAACAAATAGTCCCACCCTCCCCAAATCTTAATGAGACTGAAGCCAGAGAACAGAAGGAGGCCAGAGAACAGAGACTGAGGCCAGAGAACAGAGAACTGACCCCAGATAAGACTATTTAGAAGTTAAAAGGTAAGCTAACAAATCATTAAAAACAACGCGATTTAGCCTCCTATCTTGATAAATTCACCATTGTCTTTACTTACCTAAAAGGCAAGGTTCAAATTTAGAATTCTTACAATCCTTGGAGTCTCTATTGGAAGAGGAACTGACCTCAGTCCAGGCCTGCAGCTCCTCTCTTTATCCCTCCACCTCCCTCCTGTACCAGCAAAGGGCTCTCTCATGTGCAAGCTGGTGCATCTAAGCCACATGAACAGCTGTCCCTTGGTTACCCCTTGGGCTTAGAGGGGCTTAGAGGGGCACAAACTAGAGACATATGCTGCCTTCAGCAGCCCCTAGAAGGGACCCAAGGGATCGGATAGCCCTAGTAGTGAGGTCTGGTCTACAAGGAGGCTATATTAGTTTGCTAAGACTGTTAGGACCAAGTACCATAAACTGGGTGGATTACACAACAGAAATTTATTGTCTCACAGTTCTGCAGGCTATAAGTCCAGGATTGAGGTTTGAGCAAAATTGGCTCCTTCTGACAGTTGTGAGGAAGAATCCTTCCTGGGCTTCTCCTCTGGCTTCTGGTGATTTGCTAGTGATCTTTGGTGTTTATTGGCTTGTAGACACAGCGCTCTGATCTCTGACTTCACTTTCACATGGCATCCTCCCTGTGTGTGAGTCTGTGGCATCATTTTCCCTTCTTATAACGACACTTGTCATATTGGATTAGGGTCCACCTTAATGACCTTATCTTGATTACATCTGTAAAGACCCTATTTCTATAGAAGGTCATATTCTGAGGTACTGGGGTTAGGACTTCAATGTATAAATTTGGAAGACACAAATCAACTGATAGCAGAGGATAAGTAAGTGTGGGCTCCCAGAGGGCACATTCCCTTGGCCTCATGGACAGCTCATCCTTAGGGAAGGTTGTGGCTGGATGAGGCCCAGAGTGAAGCTCTCTAAAACTTGAGACCTGTGACAGGGACCCCTTTAAGGACTATGCTGAGAATACATTCTTTATCACCAATATCACTGCAGTCTTTGACATGGGATGACCCAGCAGTTTAAAGAGCAACAGAAATAGAAATGAAATAGAAATAGAAATTAACTTCAACTTCTTCTGAATTTCCCCATTTGGCTAAATTAAGTAAGGCTCTTCCCCACACTCTGAATAGTCTTTCCAGTCTAGTCCATCTTATCAATTCATTCTCTCTTCACCCCTAATTCCCATCACAACTTCTCACCCAGTTCATTTGATAGCTTATGAGTGACTGCTTCTTACAACCAAAAGTGTTGATCTTAGCACGATGTTGGAGGATGGCAAGTCCTCAATAAAAACGTATTGGTTCTCTGGGCCTCTAACTTCTGTTGATGGCATATTTAATGCATCAGCTTTGATTCTGGACAGTACATTCCTAGTTCTGAGGGCAGTCAGGCCTTCACTGTTCTGTATGTGGGCTATTTCTGAGCCCACATTTTAAAAATAATCCATGGCGGGAAGGAGGGGTATTCAATTCTGTGACTAAAAACAATCTCCTGGGAGCCAAAGAAACACACAGATAATGTTTATTCTCCAAGCTAAAAATAGGTGGGCTGGTATTTTTAGTCATTCCCCAAAATATGGTGTCTGGACTCAAATTCAGCTGTGGGTGTCTGTCTTTTTGGGATCCAATGAGGCTGGCAGTGCGGGGAGGAGTCCGGGTCAGATGCTAGAATAAAAAAATGTTTCTAGGAGAGAAGTCGGGCCTTGCTACCAATTTAAGCTTTCCAGCTAATGAGGGTGTAGTTCAATTTCAAACATTTTTAGAGTTTAAAAAAACAAAAACAAAAACAAAAACAAAGCAACCTCAATGAATTATCGAGTGCATAAAGACCAGCAGTTGTTACATCCTTGGCTGTCAAAATGAGCTACTTCTTCCCCTCAGATGAGGGCAAAAAGTGGTCTGGAATCACAGCAAAATTAATTTGTTTGCTCGGGTATAAATTTAAAACGACTCACCTGATTTTTTTTTTATTCTTCTGTAATTTGCCAGAGTTAATTCAGTCCCAAGGGATTTTCTCTTTACCACCTTGCTATAAAATCTGATTCAGTTTCATACAGTTTTTTTCCCCAGCTAATGCCCAGACTAAACGTACACTTTAAGAAAACACCAGGGCTATAGCCTGTGCTTTTGCTATGTTTCTTGTATAGACTTTCGGGGACCCTTGGTGTGGGAAACGGAAGGGAGGGTTTTCAAGGCATTTAAAGAGTTTAAGAAATCTCTACAAATCAGCATGATGTTTTTTCTCCCTTCTCTAGAAGTCAAGTTTAAGGGATCATTTCTTTACCAAGTCTTGCACCTACTGAATTACTGTTGGGGTTGAGACCAACTGCAAGGTTTCAAAAGGAATGGAAAGAAGCATACTTAATGAAAAAGTGCTGAGGATTGGATGTCAAACTTAAAAACAGAATGTGAGTTATTCCTGTGTTGTATGACAAAGGCATTTTCCTTGCCTCACCAGACCAAGTCCAGGAATAGGAAGGGCAGGGGGCTGCCTCCAAAACATAAGGCTGCATGTGGGATTCCCACTAAACCCATCCCACAGACGAACCACATGGAAGATGTCTAACGTGACCAGTGGAATGAGCAACATTGATTTCTCTCAGTGTTCGCCACACGCGTTCCATCATTGTGCTGGCTTGGTAGGAGGGTGCTGGGATGCAGCAGCGAATGTCTTACCGAGATGTTCTCATCGCGTGAGTTAGGATGGAGTGACACATCTCCTTGTGTTATTTTGAGCTGCTTAAAAGTTCATGTTGTGACTATGAGTGGGTTTAGTATCAGACTATATTTCTTAAATAGAAATCAAGTCCTTGATTGCATAATTCCATTGCTTCAAATGTTATAATTTGGTAACACTGAAGAGAGGATCTATGGCCAAAGGATCATGTGATGGAAAAAAAGGGAAAAATGTCATTTATGCTGTCATATGCCAAGTAGATGTAATTTTAAAGATAGTGTCTTCCATCCAAAATTAATTCCCTTATCTATAGTAAACTACATCAGATGTCATGATAGAAATTATGGCCATTTGGAGGGGGCAGTTGTACCGTAGTTTCCAAACTTTTTTTTTTTTTTTTCAAAGCATACTCTTATTATAACCATTTTTGAGATTAAGGACCATAATTTTGGAGCCATTATCTTTTTCTAAAACTCAAAGTACAATTTATTTCCTTTTTGGCTTCATGAAAGTAAGTTATTTTGTTTCTCAGAATCACCCATTCTATTGTTAAGACGGGGACTCTGAAGCCAGGTCACACAAGAAGTTAATGGGCAAAGTCAAGAACCTACATATTATGGCCATTTCTTAAACTCTTCCCTGGGCCTGACAAAAATAATTTGATTTATGTATCTAGTGATTTTTTTATCACTTGTAATTAAAATATGAAGAGTTGACATTTTTTTTCCTGCTTGGTATTCTCCACACAATCTTTTGGGAGGAGCTTGTGGATTTTTCTGGACTCCTGGGGCTTGCCTGGCTACCTCTTCTGACAGACCTGGACACAGCCCTGTGTGTGTCTGTCACACTCAGCAGGGCAGCAAATGGCAGGATCCTGCTGTGATTTCACAGTCCTGCCTTTCTTCTCGGGCATCCAGGCTAGGATATATATATACCATTACCACATCATTCATAGCTTGCTGTCAACAAGCCAAGAAACACATCGCCTTATCCCACACTCGCATTAGCACGAATAATTTAAATCAACATTTCTGTTGGGCTGCATTGGGGGATACTGTTGTTTGGGAAGTCGGGTGCATCCACCGGGCTGGCTGACAGTCATAGGTTTTTCTTGCTCTTGGTGGGCTCAAGTGCTTGTCTAAATACAGCCCCTTAACACTGCCTTGTTGTCTCAGCCCAGCAGGCAGTGATTTTGGCTCACTACATCACAGCCTCTGGTGTCAACAAAGTCTTGTCTTTGCAGTTTTCCTGGTGTTAGCCTGAAGGGTGTATGTCTCTGTCTGTGAGTCTGTTTGCTAGGAAAGTTTTCCTCCCTGATGGAGGAAAGGGGGCACAGAAATAAACCACAGAGTTCTCTAGAAATGTCAAGGATTCATTTAGATTTAACTGTGAGGTGTATGTTCTTCTTTTGTCCCCAATCTTTCTCTACTTTTTTGTTTTTTAGAGATAGTCTTGTTCTGTCACCCAGGCTGGAGTGCAGTGTGCAATCACAGCTCACTTCAGCTTTGACCTCCTGGGCTCA